>NC_000023.11:89735269-90038299 GCF_000001405.40 Homo sapiens
TGATATTTTCTTGGTTTCAGTTAGCTAGTATTTTGTTGAGGATTTTTGCATCATGTTCATCAGGAATATTGGTCAGTAGTTTTCTTTTTTTATTATGTCATTTCTTGGTTTGGTTATCAGGGTGATACTGGCTTCATAGAATGATTTAGGGAGGAATCCCTCTTTCTCTATCTTTTGAAATAGTTTCAGTAAGATTGGCACGTCCTTCAATGTCTGATAGAATTCAGCTGTAAATCCATCTGGTTCTGGACATTTTTTTTGTTGGCAATTGTTTTATTACTCTTTTAATCTCACTACTTTTTATTGGTCTGTTCAGAATTTCAAATTCTTGCTGATTTAATCTAGGAGAGTTGTATATTTCCAGGAATTTATTCATCTTTTCTAGATTTTATAGTTTGTATGCCTAAAAGTGTTCATAGTAATTTTTTTATCTTTTGTATTTCTGTGGAATCGGTTGTAATATCTCTTATTTCGTTTCTAACTGAGCTTATTTGGATCTCTCTTTTTTTCTTGGTTAATTTCACTAATGTCTATTAATTTTGTTTATCTTTTCAAAGAACCAGCTTTCTGTTTCATTTACCTTTTGTATATTTTTTTCCAATTTCCTTTACTTCTGCTCTGATATTGTTATTTCTTTTCTTCTACAGGGTTTGGGTTGGTTTATTCTTGTTTCTCTAGTTCCTTGAGGTGTGACCTTAAATGGTCTAATCGAGCTCTTTCTGACTTTTTTGATGTAAGCTTTCAATGCTATGATTGTGATAGGTTGTGTCACAATTATTGTTAAGCTAAAAGAATTTTTTAATTTTATTTTGATTTCATTGTTGATACAAAGATCATTTAAGAGCATGTTATTTAATTTCCATGTATTTGTATAGTTTTGAGGGTTCCTTTTGGAGTTAATTTCCAGTTTTATTACACTGTGGTCTGAGAGGATACTTGATATAATTGTGATTTTCTTAAATTTATCAAGACTTGTTTTGTGACCTATCACATGGTCTATCTTGGAGAATGTTCCATGTGCTGAAGAAAAGTATGTATATTCTGTAGTTGTTGGGTAGAATGTTCTGTAAATATCTGTTAAGTTGATTTGTTCTAGGCTATAGTTTAAGTCCATTGTTTCTATGTTGACTCTCTTGAGACCCGTCCAGTGCTTTCAGTGAAGTGTTGAAGTTCTCCACTATTATTATGTTGCCATCTATATCATTTCTTAGGTCTAACAGTAATTGTTTTATAAATTTGAGAGCTTCAGTGTTATGTTCATATATATTTAGAATTGTTATATTTTCTTGTTGGACTAGTCTTTTTATGATTATATAATGTCACTGTGTATCTTTTTTTCCTGTTGTTGTTTTAAAGTCTGTTTTGTCTGATATGAGAATAGCTATTCCTGCTTGCATTTCAATTTTCATAAAATATCTTTTTTGACCCCTTTACCTTAAGTTTTTGTGAGTCCTTATGTGTTAGGTGAGCCTCTTGAAAACAGCAGATACTTGGTTAGTGGATTTTTATGCATTCTGCCATTTGGTATATTTTAAATGGAGCATTTAGGCTATTTAAATTCAACATTAGTAGTATTGAGATGTGAGGTGCTATTCTATTCATTATGTTAGGTGTTGCTTAAATACCTTTTTCTCCAAAAAAAGTATGTCATTGTTTTGTAGGTCCTGTAAAATTTGTGCTTTATTGAGGTTCTATTTTGGTGTATTTCAAGGTTTTGTTTCAAGATTTAGGAGTCTTTTTAGCATTTCCTGTAGTGCTCGCTTAGTTTTGTTGAATTCTCTCAGCATTTGTCTGAAAAAGATGTTATCTTTTTTTTTTTTGATTTATGAAACTTGGTTTTGCTGGATACAAAGATCTTGACTGACAATTATTTTGTTTCAAGAGGCTAAAGATGGGACCCTAATTTCTTCTTGCTTGTAAGGTCTCTGCTGAAAAATCTACTGTTAATCTTATAAATTTTCCTTTATAGGTTATCTGATGTTTTTGTATCACAGCTCTTAGAATTCTTTTCTTGTCTTGACTTTAGATAACCTGATGGCTATGTGCCTAGGTGATGATTTTTGTCAATAAATTTCTCAGGTGTAATTTAAGCTTCTTGTATTTGGATGTCTAGATCTCTAGCAAGGCCAGAAAGTTTTCCTCAATTATTCCCTCAAATAAGTTTTCCAAGCTTTTAGATTTCCTTTCTTCTTTAGGAACACTGGTTATTCTTAGGTTCAGCCATTAAATATAATTCCAAATTTCTTGAAGGCTTTGCTTATTTTAAAAACATTCTTTTTTCTTTGTCTTTGTCTAATTGTGTTAATTCAAAAGCCTTGTCTTTGAGCTCTGAAGTTCTTTATTCTACTTGTCCTAGTCTATTGTTGAAACTTGTCCACTGCATTTTATATTTCCCTAAATGTGTCTTTCATTACCAGAAGTTGTGAGTTTTTTAATGGTATCTAATTCTCTGGAGAATTTTTCATGCATATCATGTATGTTTTTTAATTTGTTTAAGTTGGTTATCACCATTCTGTCTTGTCTTTGAGTAGGCTTAGTAATCAACCTTCTGAATTATTTATCTGGAAATTCAGAGATTTCTTCTGGGTTTGGATCCATTGCTGGGGAGCTGCTGTGATCTTTTGTGGGTGTTATAGAACCTTGTTTTGTCATATTATCAGAATTGCTTTTGTGGTTTCTTCTCATTTTGGAAGACTATTACAGTGGAAATATCTGCAAGTCAAGGCCTGCTGTTCAGATTCTTTTGTCTCATGGGTTGATTTCCTGATGTGGTGCTCTCCCCTTTACCCCTCGGGATGGGGCTTGCTGAAAGCTGAGCTGCAGTGATGGTTATATCTCTTCCAGGTCTGACCAGCCAGCAGGGCTATCGGTTTCCAGGCTTGTGCTGGGGAATGTCTGCAGAGTCCTGTGATGGGATCTGTTGTCAGGTCTCCCAGCCGTGGATACCAGCAACTGCTCTGGTAGAGGTGGCAGGGAAGTGAAGTAGACTGTTAGAGTCTTTGGTTTAGTGTGCTGGCTTTCTTGAATGCTGGTTATGCTAGCAGTGAAGTTGTCAGGTAGACACTCAGGAGCTCTAGTTAGCCAGGATTTTGTAGGCAATGGAATTAGCTGTTGTTTTCTCCTTCTTGGGAGCAGGGTGATTCTGTCATGAGTTGCTGAAATGGCCTGAGTTTGTTGGACTCCAGCCAGGAGGTGGTACTTTCAAGACAGCATTAGCTGAGGTAGTAGTTGGGGTATATGAGCTTGCCCAACACTGGCCAGTGTAGTAATTCTGGTTTCTTAGGTGATGGGTGGGGCCACAAAGCTTCCAACAGTTTATATCTTTTGTGTTTAGCTATAAGGGTGGGTAGATAAATGCCATAAGGTGGAGGCAGGATTAAGCAGGTCTGTTCTCAGACGCTCCTTGGGCAGGGGCTGCTGTGGCCACAGTAGGGAATGGAGGGCATTTCAGGCCAATGGAGTTATGTTCCAGAGGGGACTATGGCTGCCTCTGCTGTGCCATATAGTTTGCCAGAAAAGTGGGAGATCACCAGTAGTAAAAGGCCTCACACAGCTCCCATGAGGCTGGCAAGGCTGGTCTTGTTCCTGCAGTGCCCACTTAGAACTTGATCCAGGCCTTGAGCTTCTCCAATGAGAAAGCAAACATGGTGACTCCTGTGCTGGTATCTGTAGCAGTTACAGTTCACTCTTTGGATTCTGCTCAAGAAAATTTGTGCACAGTTGAAATTATTACAAAATTCAATTGGAAGCTTTTTTCACCTGTGACCACTCCCCAATTCCTCTGGCTGTCCTCCCTGAGGGCCCCTGTGAGATATAGTCAGGAATGGCTTCCCTGGGCTTGAGCTGGAAACTCTGAGTGCTTATAAGGCTCTTTCCACCACTGTTGCTTCTACTTTTATATTTTGCACAGCTCTCTAAATCCATTTCAGCTCTAGCTTAGGTTAAATTCTTCTCCCATGATCTGGATTTTTGAATTCACCAATAGGCATTTGTGTTTGGAGGCAGGTTTCCCCCTTCTCACACTTTGGAAACTCAGTTTTTTGCATCTTGCAGAATTTGCAGTGGCATGCTGCTTCTTTCAAAGGATTTGTGAATTCTTTCAGTTTTCCTGTATGTTTCTGATGCTGTTCTTGGAGCAAAAGTTCACAGTGTGTGTGATTCAGCAGGTTCTGTCCATCCAAGTGGAAGCTGCATGTTAGCTGTGTCTTGTCTCCATCATCTTCCTCAGACTCCCAATTAAAGTTGAATATTGCATTATAAATAGATTTAATATGATTTCAAACATTGATATAATTCATTGAACTTATAAAATCTGGTGAGGAGAATACATTATTTTTTGAATGGCATAGAAAAGGTATTACAATACTAACAAATGATTTTTAAAAATAAGAGTTTGTCAACTAGGGCTAGAAAAAAATAATAATAAATAATCTGTTAATCATCATGATAAAATACTTGAAGTATCCTCATTAAAGTCAAGAGAAGGGAAGAATTACTATTCATATCTACTATTTAAGAATGCTCTGAGAGATATCATTTGTAATAAGAAAGCATTAGATATTAGAATATTAGAAGGGCAGTATTAAAACTGCCTTTATTTTTGCAGATGTTATGATTAACTTTATTTTTAACAAAAATATGAAGAGTAGTTATTTATGACTCCAAAGTTAAAAATGATGATGAGATAAATAAATATAGAAAATAAGAACTCTGAGTTTTTCCAGAAAATTTTGTTGTAAAAATTATTTTTTACAATATCAAGGTAAGATAATTACAAAATGGTTTTCAAAATATTTTTAAGGCAAAAATGAAAGAGGTATAAATACTACTAAGTGGACTTCTCTCATGACAATGGGAGTGTGTGCTATTCCAAAACAACTTTTCTGCTGAGAACAATTAGAAAAAATAAAAATAAAAAACTACATACAGTCTATTTGAAGGCAACAAATAGCTACGAAGTTAAATTTTAAAATACAGAGCAAGATTTAACAGAAACAAGATAATTTAGACAAATATCCATAGTGAGAGATTTAACATAGCTGACTGGGTGTCTAAGAGGAAGAACACACAAAAAACATCTGTTGGAATGTGGAAGATTTAACTTTAACGAAAAGATACTGATATACATAATACTATTTTGCCCAACAGCTGCAAAGTACATGTTATTATCCAGTGGTTATAGAACTTTTATCAAATTTAACCATCTGCTGGGCTGAAAACATGTCTCAGCAAATTTTGTAAGATTGGTATCATGTACAGTCCATTCTTCTACTTACTACAATAAAAATAAGCTAGTAATCAATTACAAAAGGATAACTGGAAAATCTCTTAATTCTTTTGGAAAATCAGAAATACTCTGTTGTATTATGTATCAAAGAATAAATCATAATAATATAAAGTATTGTGAACTGAATAAAATGGAAATCCTACATCTTAAAATTGGTGAGACACAGCTAAAATACGTGCATAGAGGAAGTTTTGCAGTCTTAAATTCATTTACATAGAAAACCACAAAGTCAAAAATACAATGATCTGTCTTAAAACATTAAGCATTCACCTTATGACATTAGTAAAAGAACATATAACTAAATCCAAAGAAGAAAGAAGAAATAGAAACTGAAAACAATAAACTGGCAAGCAAATATACAACAGAGATAATCAGCCATGTCTAAGGTATTTTTTGGAGTATAGAGTAGTAAAAGTGGTAACACTGTTGCAAAACTGATCAGAAAAAAGAATACACCATGAATACACACAAATTCAGGAATGTATTACTGCATAACTTGTAAATATCAAAACATCTTAAGAGTATATTACAAAAAAAAGAGTCGAGCCAATGGATGTGATATTATATGTTAGTCAGAGTGGTTGAAAAACAACAGTTACCAAAATGAACACATGAAATTTAAAAAGCTCCATATTGACTAAAAATATTTTATTTGCAAATGAATACTTTCTCCCGAAGCAAACTACAGTCGATGTGGATCTGATCAATTCAATCAAATATGTAAAAAGGTAAAAACAAAATCACTCAAACATAAATATTGTCAGATATCAGAAAAAGAGAAAATATATCACACATTGTTTTATGCAGTCAGCATCATGTATATATCAAAACTTGCAAAGATGGTCAATGCAAAAGATATCGTACACCAATCTATTATGTATATAGACGCAAACTTTTTAACAAATTATTAGCAAATTGGAATCCAGTGATAATTATAAAGAATAATATGACACAGAAGTTTTATGGCAGGAAAGCCAGATTGGCTTCACATTCAAAAACTGATCAAAGTACTGAATTAATAGAAAAAAATATGAATTATTTGGTTATATCGATGAGTGCAGAAAAATTCTTTGATGATATCTAACATCATTTACGATTTAAAAAATGTAATTATGAATAGAAGAGGAAATCTTTAGTAGATTAATGTTTCTACCAAAACCACAGATCATGTTTGATAGTAAAATGTTAAAAATTTTTCTCTATGAGAACAAAAAACAGACATAAATGCCTGTTATCCACATATATCTTACAGAGTGATTAAGGTTTTCAGTTTTATAGAGACTAAAATGTTTTTCAGCACATGGGGCTCTCAGTGATAAAACTTGGAAAGTGCCTGGTAAACTGAAGAGAGTTTGTCATCCTAATTTTATATTTTACTCAAAGTCTTGACGAATGAAACAAAGTGCAAAAGAGAAATAAAGATCTAAGAATTTATAAGGGATAAATAAAATTTCATTATTCATGGACACATATTTACCTATGTAGAAAATAATAATAGACTGTCAGAATTAAAAAGTGAATCTTTCAAAACTGAGACAGGATTAAAATATTAAAATCAATTTTATTTCTTTATATTGGAAACAAACAGCTTAAACATAATTAAAAATCACTGACAATCTCATAAAAGCCTAAAATGTCTAAAACACTTCACAGAAATGTATAAAACATAAGTACAAGATGTTGACATGAAAGATATATTATGGTCTTCAAATTGAAGATTCATTAGTAAAAAAAAATTCAATACCATGGAAATTATCTCTTCATTCAATATAATCTCAATTAAAATCTGAGCAGGGATCTTTTCTAAAAATTGACAAACTGATTGTAAAATGTAATATATCAGATTCATGTATCATTAAAAAAAATAATATAGAAATTTAATTTTACTTTTTTTCACAAGTATAATTTTCTTCCATTATACATTTAAATAGCTAATCCATCCTATGTTATGTTATGTTATGTTATGTTATGTTATGTTATGTTATGTTATGTTATGTTATGTTATGTTATGTTATTTGTGTCTTGCTATGTTGCCCAGGCTGGAGTGCAGTGGTGCAATCTCGGCCCACTGCAACCTCCGCCTCCTGGGTTCAAGCGATTCTCCTGCCTCATCCTCCCGAGTACAAGTACATGGGATTACAGGTGCCTGCGTGCCACCACACCTGGCTAATTTTTGTATTTTTAGTAGAGATGTTGTTTCACCATGTTGGCCAGGCTGGTCTCGAACTCCTGACCTCAGATGATCCTCCCGGCTCAGTCTCCCAAAGTGCTGGGATTACAGGTGTGAGCCACCGTGCCTGTCCCACATATTCTTTTTGTTTTCGTGCGTAGATATTTAGACCATCTAAAAACAATGACAGTTTTTGTCTTACTTTTGAAAATGTGAGGCTGTCCTGGTGAGGGATGGAAAAATAACAACAACAACAAAAATTAGGCTTTGGGAGGCCGAGACAGGCAGATCATGAGGTCAGGAGATCCAGACCATCCTGGCTAACACGGTGAAACCCCGTCTCTACTAAAAATACAAAAACAAATTAGCTGAGCATAGTGGTGGGCACCTGTAGTCCCAGCTACTCGGGAGGCTGAGGCAGGAGAGTAGCATGAACCTGGGAGGCGGAGCTTGCAGTGAGCCGAGATTGCGCCACTACTGCACTCCAGCCTGGGTGACAGAGCAAGACTCCATCTCAAAAAAAAAAAAAAAAAAAAATTAGGCCGTTTTTCTTCTTTGTCTTGTCTCACTAAACTGCTTAGGATATCCAGGTTAATGTTGAATATGTATTGGGGTAGTAAATATTTCTGTCTTATTCCTTAAATATACTACATAAAAATTATGTTAAATGTTTTGGTGGCATATTAATAAAACAGTGATATATTAATAAAAGATTGCCTATTTTCTAATTATTTATATTTTTTAATTAATGTGTTTACACAAACATTTTAGGAAGTCTTACAAACAAACATTATATATGTAAAATAACTTGTTAGTGTTATGATTTACATTAAAACTTTTTCTAGAATGAAAACATTCATAAATTCTCTGAATTAAGTTAACAAATATCTTATTTAGAAATTTTTAGTTTATGTCCATAAGTAGATTTCATCTTATGTTTTCAAGATCTAAGTTTCTTGTTTCTGGTTTTGGTATCAAGGTTATACTGGCATCAAAGCTGATTTGTGCGGTATCTTTTTATTTTCTGATATAATTTAAATAATATTAGATTTTTTCCTCTTATATAGTTTGGTAAAGCTTTCTTCTTAAAATGTTCAAGCTATATAGTTTGTTTTATAGAGAGAGAAAGGGAGAGGAAGTTGATTTTGACTTGTTTATTTATTTAGTTGAGACACAGTCTGACTCTCACCCAGACTGGAGTACAGTGGTACACTTGTGACTCATTGCAGTCCTGACCTCCCTAGCTCAAGCGGTCCTCCCAACTCAGCCTTTAGAGTAGCTGGGACTACAAGTGCGTGCCACCATGCCTGACTTTTTTTGTATTGTTTGTAGAGACGTGTTTTTGCCATGTTGCCCAGGCTGGCCTCGGACTCTTGGGCTCAAACTATCCACCAGTCTCGGCCTCCGAAGTGTTGGGATTACAGGTGTGAGCCGCCACCCCCAGCCTATTTAATGTATTATTTGTTAAATAATTATACTTTTTCACTCTTTCTGAGAAAGTCTGGATATGCTTCATTCATTTTAGAAACTTATCCACTTTATTTACCAACATGTGGGCTATGCATAGTAGTGTGTCTATTTCTAAAACATTTAACCTCACAGAATTATTGGCTTCTCATATTTTTAATGTTTTAATGCATTTTAACAAAGGTTTCTTTTTTAATTTCTTATTTTGTTAGTCTGTTCAAAGCATCAGCTTTGGGTCTTTTTTCGTCTCCTTATTGTTTATTTTATTTTTCTTTATTTTTTCTCTTAACATTATGATATACTTCTATTTTCCTTGAGTTTTGCTGTTGTTCTCTTTCTACCTTCTGTAGTTGGATGCATAATTCATTTCTTATTTGCTAGTAGAAATATGAATCTCTAAATTTTGCCTTGGCATATTTTTAGTGACAATACACACGTGTTTATGTGCATTAATTTCTTTATTTAATTTAAAATATTTTTATAATTTTATTATGTTTGACTCATGAGTAATTTGCAAGTATGGTCTTAAATTTCTATTTTCAAGGGCTTTTAAAGTTATATGTCTTGTAGTATTTTCTCCAAATAACACTAGTCAGAGAACAAACTGTGTGTGTCATACAAACTGAATTACAAGACTCATATGTGGCTTAAATGTATTATAAATTCCCAGTCGAAAATTTGTTCTTCTCATATTCAGAATCAGAGAGGAGATTCTTTGTTCCCTTCATGTGGCTAATGGTTGATTTTTTTTCCTCCATGGTTCACTCTTTTCACTCTTTACTGGAAATATAATACTTTATGAGATTCAACATTGTACAATGGAACGTGTGTTGATTCTCCACTTCATATGGGTACAAAACCTTATCTCCCATCCCACTGCTGAAATTGTAACAGGAGGTCTTAGTTTTTGATATTCCCCTTCCCCATATTCCCATTATCCAAGGTGTCAAGTCACTAGCTTATTTGGTTTTCAGGTCCCTTATTTTTTTCTGGTCACTAAGAATTTCCTTTATTTCTCATAAGCTCAGCTATGCATTTAATTTTAGAAAATACCTCACTATTTTTGAGAGAGTGGATGCTATGTAGGCCACCAAATTATGAGAATTTCTTCTTCTTAAAAATGTTTCTTGGAGATTTTTCCATATTAGCATAGATATGAGGCCTTATGTAGTCTGATGATGATACATCACTCTGTCCTATCCCTATACCATTACTTTGTCAAAGCCCACCTGGTGAGCATGTGCCTGTCTGTATTTTTGTGACTAGCGCGATAACATTTATTCTTAGATGTAAATTTGGTTTGTCAAGGAAAGGACCTCATAAAATTTGACAGATATATTCACATCTTACGCTATAAGAGTGCATCAACAGTAGATGAATACTCTGGTATTTTTCCAGTAAACTCCTTATTCTTTGTCAATCTTTTTAGTAAAGTATAGACTTCCATAGTTACCCCAAAGTTGATTTTTTGAATTGTTAATGACATTAAATATTGATACATGCCAATTGGTCATTTATGTCTTTGTTCAAGTTTCTATTTTTTTCTTATTGAATAATGAAAGCTGGTTTTTTTAGCAAAAATGCAGCAAACACACTTTATTCTGTTTGTATTAGTTGTTGTGATTTCTTTATGACTATACATGTGAAAAATGATTTAATTGTAAGCATTAAATTGATCAGCACTGTTTCTTGATTGTTCCTGTTACATGTCAAGTGGTTATTAGTCAGCATAGGCCAGGTGATAATAAAGTGCTAAGCTCCGAATTTCATTGGGTCAAACGACAAAGTGTCATTTATTACTTAATACACATGTCAATTCTAAATCCCAGGCAGAACGAGCTTCCACCATTTACAATATCACCAACCATAGTGGTAAAAGGAGAGTTTTGCCTTTATAATTGTTTCTATTCACATATGCTTGTTGAAATAATTTTTGTGGTCTCACCTAAATTCAAGAGATTAAGGAAGTGCAACCAAACTGTGTAAACAGAAGACTACATTCAGATATTAGTGAACATTGATAATATGTACCTTGTATTCCTAGAAAGGAATTTCCTCATAGATTATTCTAAAGTTCACTTGTGTGTTTGTGTAACATTATCAAAAGATGCCAAATGTCTCATTAAAACATTTTCTTAAACTGGCATTTATTTCAATCTGAATGATGAAATAGAAGTCCTTCTTTGTTACAAAAATAATTTATGTTCTGACACTATTTATTGACTAACATATCTTTCACCACTGACTTAAAAGGCCCTTTTATGAAACAAAATTTTAGCTTCCACTTTTATCTATTCTAACACATTATTTATGTTTCATTAAATATTAAATAGTTTTCATGAAGCTTTATAATATTCAAAAATATTATAATATTCAATAACACAATGTTTCTCCAAAAATTAAACAGACACTTATACAATTCAGCAATTCCACTTGTGCATATACAACCAAAGGAATTTAAATCAAGTATGTAAACAAATCTTAATAAACTAATGTTCACAACAACGATATTCACAATAGCCAAAAAGGTGGAAACAATAGAAATGTCCATTGAAAGATGAATGGATGAACAAAATGTGGTATGAAATAATGTCTTAAAAAATAAAGGAAATTCTGAGACATGCTTCAACTTGTGTAAACACTGAAAACATATTATGCTAAATGAAATAAGCTAATAACAAAAGGACAAATACTGTATGATTCTAATTATTTGAGGTACCCAGATTAGTCAAATTTCTAAAGATAGAAAGTTGAATGATGTTTGCAAAATGATTAGGGATGGGACATATGTGGAGTCATTATTTTATGGGCAGAGAGTTTCAGTTTGGAAAAACGAAAGAGTTCTGGAAATGGATGGTGGTATTGATAGCACAACAATTTGAATGCACTTAACATCACTGAACCATATACCTGAAAATGATTAAAAAGAAAATTTTATGTTATGTATAATTTACTACACAAGTCAATCTTGCTCATTTCTTTTTTATCAAGTTTTTTTCAAATTTTTTGTTCTATAGTCTTTAGGGAAATAGGTGGCATTTGGTTACATGAGTAAGTTCTTTAGTGGTGATTTGTGAGATTTTGGTGCACCTATCACCCGAGCAGTATACACTGAACCCAATTGGTAGTCTTTTATCTCTCATCCCCTTCCCACCCTTTCCCCTCAGTCCCCAAAGTTCATTGTATCATTCTTATGCCTTTGAATTCTCATAACTTAGCTCCCACTTATGAGTGAGAACATATGATGTTTGGTTTCCCATTCCTGAGTTACTTCACCTGGAATAATAGTCTCCAGTTCCATCCAGGTTGCTGCGAATGCCATTAATTTGTTCCTTTTATGGCTGAGTAGTAATTTCTTTAACCACTGGTTGATGGATGGGCATTTGGGCTGGTTCTATATTTTCGCAACTGCAAATTGTGCTTCTATAAACATGCATGTCTAAGTATCTTTTTCGTATAATGACCTTTTCTTCTGGGTAGATACCCAGTAGTTTGATTGCTGAATCAAATGGTAGGTCTACTGTTAGTTCTTTAAGGAATCTCCTCACTGTTTTTCATAGTGGTTGTACTAGTTTACATTCTGACCAGCATTGTAGAAGTGTTCCCTTTCCACCACATCCACACCAACATCTATTATTTTTTTATTATGGCCATACTTGCAGGAGTAAGGTGGAATTGCATTGTGGTTTTGATTTGCATTTCCCTAATTATTAGTGATGTTGAGCATTTTTTCATATGTTTGTTGGCCATTTGTATATCTTTTTTTGAGAATTGTCTATTTTCACTTTTTGATGGGATTGCTTGTTTATTCTTATTAATTTGTTTGAATTCCTTGTAGATTCTGGATATTAGTCCTTTGTCAGATGTACAGATTGTGAAGATTTTCTTCCACTCTGTGGGTTGTCTGTTTACTCTGCTGAATGTTCCTTTTGCTGTGCAGAAGCTCTTTAGTTTAATTAAGTTTCACCTATTTATCTTTGTTTTTGTTGCATTTGCTTTTGGTTTCTTGTTCATGAAGTCTTTGCCTAAGCCAATGTCTAGAAGGGTTTTTCTGATGTTATCTTCTCGAATTGTTATGGTTTCAGGTTTTATATTTAAGTCCTTGATCTAGCTTGAGTTGATTTTTGTATAAGATGAGAGATGACGATCCAGTTTCATTCTCCTAAATGTGGCTTGCCAATGATCCCAGCATCGTTTGTTGAATAGGGTGTCCTTTCCCCACTTTATGTTTTTGTTTGCTTTGTCAAAGATCAGTTGGCTGTAAGCATTTAGCTTTATTTCTGGGTTTCTATTCTGTTCCATTGGTTTATGTGTCTATTTTCATGCCAGTACCATGCTGTTTTAGTGACTATGGGCTTGTAGTATAGTTTCAAGTCAGGTAATGTGATGCCTCCAGATTTGTTCCTTTTGCTTAGTTTTGGCTATGTGGGTTCTGTTTTCATTCCATATGAATTTTAGAATTGTTTTTTCTAGTTCTGTGAAGAATGATGGTTGTATTTTGATGGAAATTGCATTGAATTTGTAGATTACTTTTGGCAGTATGGTCATTTTGACAATATTGATTCTATCCATCTGTGAGCCTGGGTGTGTTTCCATTTGTTTGTGTCTAGTATGATTTCTTTCAGCAGTGTTTTGTAGTTTTCCTTATAGAGGTCTTTCACCTCCTTGGTTACGTATATTCTTAGGTATTTTATTTTATTTTATTTTATTTTATTTTATTTTATTTTATTTTATTTTATTTTTTGCAGCTATTGTAAAAGAGATTGTGTTCTTGATTTGATTCTCAGCTTGGTTGCTGTTGATGTGTAGCAGAGCTACTGATTTGTGTACATAAATCTTTATTCTGAAACTTTGCTGAATTCATTTAACAGTTCTAGAATCTTTGTGGAGGGGCTTCTTTTGTGTTTTCTAAGGTATATGATCATATCATCAGTACACAGTGACTGTTTGACTTCCTCTTTAGTGGTTTGGATGCTCTTTATTATTTTCTCTTGTCTGATAGCTCTGGCTAGTATTTCCAGTAATATGTTGACTAGAAGTGGTGAGAGTGGACATCCTTGTCTTGTTCCATTCCTCAGAGGTAATGCTTTCAAATTTTCTCTCTTCAGTATTATGTTGGTTGTGGGTTTGTCATAAATGGCTTTCATTACTTTAAGGTATGTCCCTTGTATGCTGATTTTGCTGAGGGTTTTAATCTTAAAGGGATGCTGGATTCTATCAAATGCTTTCTCTTTGTCTATTTAGTTGATTACGTGATTTTTTTAAAAGAAATTTTGTTTATGTGATGTATCACATTTATTGACTTGCATATGTTAAACCATGTCTCCATCACTGGTATGAAATTCACTTGATCATGATGTATTATCTTTTTAAAATGCTGTTGGATTTGGTTAGCTAGCATTTTGTTGAGGATTTTTGCATATATGTTCATCAGATATTTTGGTCTGTATTTTTCTCTTTTCATTTTGTGTTTTCCTGCTGTTGGTATTAGGGAGATGCTGGCTTCATAGAATGATTTCCACTTTCTCTATTTTGTGGAATAGCGTCAATAGGATTGGTACCAATTCTTCTTTGAATGTCTGGTAGAACTCAGCTGTGTATCCATCTGGTCCTGGACTATGTTTTGTTGGCAATTTTTGTATTACCATGTCAATCTCACTGCTTGTTATTGTCTGTTCAGGGTTTCTAATTCTTCCCGATTTAAGCTAGGAGGATTGTGTATTTCCAGGAATTTATCCATCTCCTCTAGGTTTTCTAGTTTATGCATGTAAAGGTTTTCATAGTAGCCTTGAATAATCTTTTGTATTTTTGTGCTGTTGGTTGTAATATCTCCCATTTTGTTTCTAATTGAGCTTATTTGGATATTCTCTCTTCTTGGTTAATCTTGCTAATGATCTATCAATTTTATATATCCTTTCAAAAAAACAGCTTTTTGTTTCATTTATCTTTTGTATTTTTTGTTCCAATTTTATTTAAGTTCTGCTCCAATCTTGGTTATTTCTTTTTTTTCTGCTGGGTTTGGTTTGTTCTTGTTTCTGTAGTTCCTTGTGGTGTGACCTTAGATTGTCCATTCGTGCTCTTCCAGACTTTTTGATATAGGCAATTTAAGGCTATGAACTTTCCTCTTATCACTGCCATTGCTGTATCCCAGAGTTTTTGATAGGTTTTGTCACTATTATCATTCAGTTCAAAGAATTTTTCAATTTCCATCTTGATTTCCTTGTTGACGCAATGATCCTTATCAGCAGGTTATTTAATTTTCATGTATTTGTATGATTTTGAAGGTTCCTTTTGGAGTTGATTTCCAATTTTATTCCACTGTGGTCTGAGATAAAGAAATATTGATTTATGTATATACTTATTAATAAATATGTACCAGTAAATATATATTTACTTTATTTAACATATAATTATATATTAATTATATGTATTTATTTATTAAATATATTTAATATATTATTTACATTTACCCGGTGCTTTTGCCTCATGGCTCTTAATATTCTTTCCTTTGTCTTGACTTTAGATAACCTGATGACTATGTGCCTAGGTGATGATCTTTTTGTGATAAATTTCCCAGGTGTTCTTTGAGCTACATGTATTTGGATGTCTAGATCTCTAGCAAGGCCCGGGAAGTTTTATTGATTATTCCTTCAAATATGTTTTCCAAATTTTAGATTTCTCTTCTTCCTCCAGAACCTCAATTATTCTTATGTTTGGTCATTTAACAGAATCCCAAAATTACTGGAAGCTTTGTTAATTTTTTTAAAAAAATATCTTTGATTGGGTTCTTTTGAAAACCTTGTCTTTGATCTCTGAAATTCTTTTGTCTGCTTATTTGATTCTATTGCTGAGACTTTCCAGTATATTCTGCATTTCTCTAAGTGTGCCCTTTATTTCCTGAAGTTTTTATTGTTTTTAATGTATGCTATCTATTTCACTGAAGATTTTTCCTCTCATATCTTACATCATTTTTTGATTTCCTTAAGTTAGACTTCACCTTTCTCTGGTGTCTCTTTGATTAGCTTAATAATCAATCTTCTGAATTCTTTTACTGGCAATTCAGGGATTTCTTCTGGGTTTGGATCCATTGCTGGTGAGCTAGTGTGATTTTTTGGGGGTGTTAAAGGACCTTGTTTTGTCATATTACAAGAATTTTTTTCTGGTTCCTTCTCATTTGGATAGGTTATGTCAGAGGGAAGATCTGGGGCTCAAGGCTACTGTTCAGAATTTTTTGTCCCATAATGTGCTCCCTTGATGTAGTGCTCTCCCACTTTTACTAGGGATGTGGCTTCCTGAGAGCTGAACTGTAACAATTGTTTTTTTCTTTTCTGGATCTAGCCAGCCAGCAGGGCTACCAGGCTCTGGGCTGGTACTGTGAGGTGTCTTCACAGAGTTCTGTGATGTGAACCATCTTCAGGTTTCTCAGCCATGGGTACCAGTCTGGCACCTTCTCTGTTTTCTTTAAGGAATCCCAGGCTGTTAGAAACTATTTTATATCCCTCATGAAGCAGAGGGTGACAAGAGATAGGAGAGACAAGCAGAAGTAAGTTGAGAAAACAGAATTCAGTAAACTAAGAAGAAAAAAAAAATTTCTCAAAAAGAACAAAGTCCTGGAAAAAAAATATATAAAGGCCTCTTGTGTGTGTGTATCATATATATGTGTGTATGCATGAATATATATACACATGCACACACACACATACACACACATAAAGATTCTATACATTTTACTTCAGAACCCTACCCAACACTGGTTTTTATGTTAGTAGAAAAGTAACAGCAGATTTAAAGCAGGAAGAAAAGAAAATAGGGAAATAGAGAATTTAGGAATTCTATAGTTTGAACATCGACTTTTAGGCTCTTTTTTCCTCATGTAAGTGTGCACAAAAATAGCATAATATGTCGGTTTTACACCAATACTTGCAAGTAGAGGTGCCGTCAAACAAATTGTTTTTCTGAAAATGGGTCATTCTCTTTGTGTTTTCCTCATTCTTAGATTATTTGTTTCCCACTACTTATTTTAATGGAGACACTGGACTGTGGCCTAGGCTTTAGTGTAGTGTGTCAAAATGTGCTGATTGTGGGTGGAACTCTATAGTGTGTCACCACTGAGTCATTTCTGCCCTTTTATGTGCCTCAGTTTCTCCCTCCAGAGGTCTAACACCTCCAGGAGGACACAAAGAATGGAATGACCACCTCCTATATGTATCTCCTGGATTAGCCTTCTGAAACTAATTTTGTTAGGGGTTCCCTCTCGGGTTGCTACAGGTTACAAGGGGTCAACCCCTCAAACACTCTCACTCAATGACTGGTCACCTAGGAGTGCCTTTCAGCTGAGAGGAGTAAAATGCCCTTTCTCTTCAGAACTGAGAAAACTCAGTCTCTCATTTATCTATGAATACAAGAGTTCAGTTTCTCATGCAAATGCACAAGCAAACCAAATTGAGATTAATTTGGGGAGAAAAAACAATGGAGATGACCCTTTAGAACGCACTTCTGAACTAGCACCGGGGTGCCTGAAAGTGGCGTGTTCTCGTTGTTTTTAGAAAAAGGCAATGGAGAAGGCCATTTAGAATACACCTCCAAACTAGTATTAGGAATCTAAACAACAGCTTTCTAGGAATAAATAAATACATAACAATAAATAAATAAACTGCTCAAAATAAGTCAAGGACCATCAACCAAAGGGAGGTCTGGGGCTCAGGAGGACTTACCAGTTCTACCAGAGAAGAAGCTCTAAGTCAAGGGAGGCTTTCAGTGGGTTCCAGCTGGTACCTTAACTCCAGGTTCAGGCAACTTCATGGTCCTGAGTCTTTTCTGAGGCCCCACATGTTTGGGCACCACATTATTGTCAACAAAAAGAGTCAAAATCTGTAAAATATGTGAAAAGATTTATTCTGAGCTGAATATGAGTGACCATGGCCTATGACACAGCCCTTAGGAGACCCTGAGAATATGTGCCCAAAGCGGCCACAGTGCAGCTTGGTTTTATACACTTAAGGAAAACATGAGACATCAATCAAATACATTCAAAATATACATTGGTTTGGTCTAGAAAGGCTCAACAACTCAAAGTGGGGGCTTCCAGGTTTATAGGGAAATTTAAAAATTTTCTGAGTGGCAATTGGTTGAAAGAGCTATTACCAATAGAAACGAATGTCTGGGTTATGACAAGAGGTGGTGGAGACCAAAGTTTTATTATGCAGAGGGAGCCTCCAGGTAGCAGGCTTCAGAGAGCATAGATTGTAAATGTTTCTTATCAGACTCAAGGTCTGTGTTGGTGTTAAATGCTCTTCTGCTTTTTCTGAATTCCCAAAGGGAGGAAGAAATACTGAAGCATGTCTGACTTCCACTTCCCATCATAGCCTGAACCAGTCTTGGAGGTTACATTTGGGGGGCCCTGTTCTAGAAGAGGAGGTTCATTCAGATGATTAGGGGGAATTTGAATTTTATATTTGGTTTATGTATTGACCCAGCCTTAAATACTAGGAATCAATTCCACTGGTGTATACTTCTGTTTATAATTGTTGGATTTAATTTGCTAATATTTTGTTAAAGATTTTTGTATTATGTTCATGGGAGATATTGGCCTGTAGCTTTCCTTTATTGTAATATTTGTGTGTGGTTTAGGCATTAGCATAATGCTTTCCTCATAAAATTAGTTAGAATACATTCTCTCTTCTCTATTTATTGACAGTCTCTATTTTTAATTAGTGTATTTAGATCATTGACATTAAAAATGCTTATTAACATAGTTGAATTAATATGCATTATATTTGTTCCTCTTCTTATTGGCCTCTTTCTTTGTTTTATATTTCATTCTTTTTCTCCCTTCTTTGGTTTTCATTTAAGATCTTATATAATGTAATTTTTTTCTCTTAGCGTATTTACTATACTTTCTATAAAACTTTTTCTAGTGGTTGCCTTTGTGATTGCTATAAAAATTTACAACTAATCGAAGCCCACTTTCAATGAACACAATACCACCTCCCAGATAATGCAAGTATTTTATAGTAGCATATTCCCAATTCCTTCCTCTCATCTTTTGTAACATTACTGCTATAAAATTTTCTTGTCCATAAGCTATAATCACCAATGCCATCATTGCTATTATTATTGTGGTCAAACACTTATCCATTAGATACATTAAGAATGAGAAAGATGAAAGATTTTATTTTACCTTCAATTATTCCTTTGCTAATGCTCTTTCTTCCTTTTATGTAGATTTAAGTTTTTGATCTATATCAATTTTTCTTTCTAATTTTTTTAACGTGTCTTACAAGGCAGATCTTTAGGCAAAAAATTCTTCTAATTATTGTTTATCTAAAACATCTTTATTTCTTTTTAGATTTCTGAAGGATAATTTTTGCTGAAATTAGAATTCCTGGTTGATGATTATGTGAATCCCGAAAATTTGAGACACGTCTCAGTTAATTTAGCAAGTTTATTTTGTCAAGGTTGAGGATGCACCTGTGATACAGTCTCAGGAATTCCTGATGACGTGTGCCTAAGGTGGTCAAGGCACAGCTTGGTTTTATACATTTTAGGGAGACATGAGACATCAATCAATATGTGTAAGAAGTACATTAGTTCTGTCCAGAAAGGTGGAGACAACTCAAGTTAAGGTCCCCCAACTGGGGGCTTCCAGGTTACAGGTAGGTGAGAGGCAGATGGTTGTATTCTTTTGAGTTTCTGATAAGTCTTTCCAAGGGAAGCAACCACAATATGAATCTATCTTTGTGAGCAGAGGGATGACTTTGAATAGAATGGGAGGCATATTTGCCCTGAGGGGTTCCCAGCTTGAAGGGGCCCAATATATTTTCCTTTCACAATTATTTTATCTCAACTACTTAAATATTTCACACCATTTTATCCTTGTTTGCATGGTATCTGAAAATAAGTAATATTTAATTTTTTTTTTTTTTTTTTGAGACAGAGTCTTGCTCTGTCGCCCAGGCTGGAGTGCAGTGGTGCAATCTCGGCTCACTGCAAGCTCTGCCTCCCAGGTTCACGCCATTCTCCTGCCTCAGCCTCCCGAGTAGCTGGGACTACAGGCGCCCACCACCACACCCAGCTAATTTTTTGTATTTTTAGTAGAGACGGGGTTTCACTGTGTTAGCCATGATGGTCTTGATCTCCTGACCTCGTGATCTGCCCGCCTCAGCCTCCCAAAGTGCTGAGATTACAGGCGTGAGCCACCGAGGCCAGCCGTAATATTTAATTCTTATCCTTCTTTCTCTGTAAGATATATTTTTTCCCGTGCCTTCTGTCAAGATGTTTTTCCTTGTCTGATATCTGCAGTTTAAATATGACATGCCTACAGCTAGAATTTCTTTCTTTTTTTTTCTTCTTGTTGGTTTCTTTTATCTTCCTGGTGTTTGCTAAGCCTCCTAGAGCTATCTGTAGTTTAGTTTCATTTTCTTCTCTTTTTTTGTTTTTGAAAATTCTCACTCATTGCTTCAGTTATATCTCCTGTCCCTTATCTTTTTCTTCCACTCATATTCCCATTATACATATATTATACCTTTTTAAAAATTGTCCTAGAGTTCTTGTATATTCTGTCCTGGCTTTTTAATTACTTTTTTTTTTTTTTTGCATTTTATTTTTGAAAGTTTCTACTGACTTTTTTTTTACAACTTACTTATTCTTATCTTGGTGATATCCAAACTGTTGATAAGACCATCAAATCATCAAAATCACTTCTAATTTCTATTCGATTTTCATTTCTTGCATTTTAAAAAAATTAATTTGTATAGTTTTTACTATCTGCTTATATTACTTATGTGTTTTATATGTTATTCACTCTTTCAGAGCCCTTAGCATATTAATCATAGTTGTTTTAAATTTTTGATTTGATAATTTTACTATCTCTGCCATATCTGATTCTGATACTGGCTTTGTCTGTTCAAACTGTGTTTGTGTTTTAGTATGTGTTGTAATTTTTGTTTAAAGTTGTACATGATGTACAGGGTAAACAAACAAATAAACAAAACTGTATTGGTTTTCAGTGTGAGGTTTTACATACCTGTCTAGGGGTTAGGCTATCTTAACTGTTTGCTGTAGTTACAGGGTTCAGAGGCTAAAATTTCCTCTGTTGCTTTTTTTACTGTTTGTTTCCCTTTTGTGTTTGGATTTTCCTAAATACTTCTTAGAAATGTGCAGTAGTTACAGTAGCATTCCCATCTTATTGATACAACTCTGATGACTTGAGAAACACCAGGGTCCTTTGTCTCATGCCAATAAGATCAACAACATGGACACACATCAAGTGGTGATGAAGCAGGAGATGTGAGAGGAAAAACAAATGTTCCCTCTTTCCTTTGGTATGAGCAGCTTTCCCCTCGAATCCCTCCCCCTTCCGTGCGATTGTACCCTGCTCTGCAAGTTTTTATGAGTTTATGGTTTCCTGTTTTCTGTAACTGGTGTCTGTAAGTCTCTGTTTTTTCATCTGAGTAGCACCGCTGAGGTCATGAGACATGCTTGAGCAAGCTTAGATTGCAGCCCTCTGGGTGCCATAGCTAAGGACTCAAGATAAGGCTGTGCAGGCATCTTGAGCAAACCTAGATAACAGCCACCTGGCCTGCATAGCAAGAGTCACATGTAAGCCTGAGTTAGGAACCTGTCACAGTTTGATTAAGTTTGATTACAGACCATAACTATGACTGCCTTTGTTCTGCTTCTGTAAGCTTGCTTTCCCTGCCCTGCAAGTTTCACGCCACTGGCAAGCCACCTCCACTTTGGTTGTATGAATAAAAGTCAAGCCCTGACTTCATTTGTTGCTCAGCCTCTGCATATTAATCTGCCGAGCTGGTGGCCACCTAAATAAAATCCTCCTGTTCCACCCATGCGTCTCTCTGGTCTCCTGATTCCCACAACAGTGTTAAAGAGCAGAAAGTTTAATAAGCAAGAAAGAAGAAAGAAAGAAGAAAAACAGCTTCCCTGTACAGAGGGAGGGAGGCTCCAAATGAAGATACCACATGTGCAGTGGAAAGCAGTAGGTTATATTGGGAGTCTGGAAGAGGCAGTGTTTGATTTGCATAGGGCCCAGGGGATTGGTTTGACCAGGTGTGTCATTCATGTAGCCGGGAAAAAACTGGTCCTCCTACCCTAGCCTTTTAAGATGCAAATGTGGATCACCATAATGTCCTGCACACATGGTGTTATCTTCAGATAGCCGTGACACTTGTCACACATGGTGACAAGGAGAAGAGGGAAGGAACCGCCATGTTGGGTGGATCTGGCTTCTAGCTATCGGTATGTGAACATTAATGCTTGCTGGTCTGGTTGTTCAAGCCACTTTCTGTTAGAACGGAAATTGTTCAGAGGTTGCTTT
Organism: Homo sapiens; assembly: GCF_000001405.40. Lineage (NCBI taxonomy): Eukaryota > Metazoa > Chordata > Mammalia > Primates > Hominidae > Homo > Homo sapiens. The sequence goes on from NC_000023.11 coordinate 89,757,527, forward strand.
TTATTAAAGAAAAATTCCACTGATAACCTCCACACTTTCAAGCTGCCTAAAAATTATTTCTTAACTCCTGTATTATTTCCCCCCTCTGGAGAAGTAAACCTAACTGCTGATAGGGGGTGTTGGATGACAATTCTTTCTGGCTATTTCCTGCTGAAAAGGGGTGTTGTGTGGGGGAACAGCATTTGGGCCTCCTACTGAGGTTGATCTAATGGTTCTCAGAAGAATGGTGTGTCCATGCGTGGTTTGGTTTGCAGCACCATTTGGAGTTTGATTGCTTCTTGGCAAAAAGAAATAAATTTTACAAGGAAATTTAAAATATACAGTTAGCATATGAGTATTAAGATTACCACTATTAGTGGGGGGTACTATAGACCATAACTATGACAGTAGAGTGTGATACCTGTTAGTTACACCAATGGATTGTAATACCGGTTTTCCTCCACTAGATGGAGCTGTACATTAGCAGAAACTTTAATATAAAAGTAACATTTTCCTTGAGAAAAGCATACATTTCCCCCTTGACCTGCCATTAGAGAACAATTTTAGGCTTAGGCTATTTTTTATAACTTGCAATATGATTGTGAGAAATATGTTATTGGGTGGCTAAAATAACTTTAGTGTTAATCTTGACAGTTCTTTCCTTGAATTATTAAATTATTTCATGATTTTCACAGACCCTCTTACAACATACTTAAACTTTCTTACTTGTCCTAAACATCTTTCCTTTAAACAACCAATCATTTCCTTTTAGGACAAGAATTTACCATACAAAATCTTTCCTTATATAAAATCTCTTTTTTCATAACCTTTTCATAGCTTACAGTGCACCATATTACCAATCTTCAATAAAATGTCCTATCAAACTTAATGATAGTAAAACTTTCATGCTTACTTCTTATCCACAGCTATTATTCCTGCTATAAGCAAAACAACTTTGGTTAATCTTTTCTGCAATTATTAATCTTGTTATAAGGATGATAATTAGGCAAAATATTACAGCAATTAGAATTTTACAACCAGAATTCCACATTGTGTGGCCAGAGTGTATAGTTCTATTGCAAATAGTAGCGTGACTATAATAATTCCCACAAGAGTGGTGTAGTAAATAATTTCCATTTAAAACTTTACTTGCCAAGATATAATATTTCCCTTTAGGGATGTACAAAATTACAAATGCAATTCTATGAATAATTAAAATCTGCCTGCCAATATGCATTAAAAAGAAGTTCTAATATTTGGTGGCAAATTTTGAGAGGAAAGGCCAGAAATAATAAAAATTATCTGGTGAGGCAGTAGTGGGACTGAGTAAGATGAGTGGTCCTCACTCAGTTACTTATCTTTTATGCTTTTCAGCTTAAGATCTTCTGTTTCTCCCCATTGATATTGAGGACATTCCTCTGTGCTGTCAGGGATTGCTCCCCCAGCTCTTCAGGCCTTGACTTGAGTGAAATGTATTCAGGAGTTGATTCCTGTAACTTTACTGCCGAGGGGATTGAAAGAAGAACAATGCAAGGCCCTTGCCAGCTTGACATAGGGAAGGAGGGATGTGAGATTTTCACTAATACCACATTTCCCGGTGCTATTTTATAGGACATCCAGTAGTGGTAAGAGAATGTCTTTTCTTTTAAATGGCAGCATGAGCATAGAAAGCTAAGAAAGCATACTTGGAGTTAGTATAAATGTTAGCTATCTTTCCCTTGCTTAATTCAAGTGCTCTTGTAAGAGCTAGTAGTTCAGCTAATTGAGCCCTTGTGTCTGAGATGAAATGTTATTTAGAGTGACTACTGCTTATCCTGCCTTATGTACTTCTTGCTTTACTGGCTGTTTGTTAGCTAAGAGCTCCCCCTAGAGGGCAGTGATCCTGCCACATATGTGGAGTGTAAACAGTTAAATTATTTCCTTGGGTTAATTTGGAGGCTTTTCTGACTCATGACAATGGCTTGGAAGCATGTGTAAACAATAGTTCTTCCTAACTGCAACTAAGGTTGAGAAAAATGTTGGATTAGAGTTTTTCCTGAGATACGCCTTACGGTCATGCTATGGAAAGAGGGGAGGCCTGGATTAGGAGAAAAGAGAGAGACTGGCTCTAGTGTTTAGAAGGAGGTCTACTCTCCTTCCTTCAATTTCCAGAATCACCCGGGGTCCTGGGCTGTAACGGCAGTCTGAGTTGCTGGAGCCGGGGGTTTGAGCCCTGGGACCCATCATTCCTGCTGGACCATCTGTGAGACTGGTTCTGAACCCAGTGACCTCTGTCTTTTGGGGCAGTTTCATCTCTGGTGGTCTCTTCTAAAGGCTGGATAGGGTTGAGGTGGCTTCTACTTGCTGCCTGGGCATTCCTTCTTAAAATGCCCTGGCCTGCCACACTGATAGCAACTAACAGATGCACCTAGAAGATTGTGGACTTTGCAAGCCTATAAAGCCGCTACTAGAGCCTCTATCCTTTTCCTGACCTTTCTCTTTTTCTTCTGGGTCTCCTCCTGGTCCCTATTATACAAGACCAAAGTGGCCACCTTCAGAAGGTTCTCTGGTCCTGTAGCTTGCTTCTATAGTTTCCTTCTAATATTGGGAGCTGCCTGTGTAATAAACTTGTCCTTGAGGATGAGCTGTCCCTTGACTGAATCAGGGGATAAAGAGGTGTGTTTTATTAGTGCCTCTCTCAGCCTTTCCATAAAGGCTGCAGGATTCTCTTCTGGCTTTTGGTTTATCATAGACAGTTTAGAGTAATTGAGATGTCTAGTGTTAGTTCTTTGTAGGCCCTCTAAAATGCATGTTAAAAAGTGCTTCCTTTTCCATTCATCTGCAGAGCTATTGGGGTCACAATCAAGTTTGTCAAGGGGGAACTGCTTTCCTTTCAATTGAGAATGGTGTTTCTGCTATTTCTTCACTCTCCCTTTCTTCTTACTTCTCTTTTGGTTTGTTATAGGTGATATATTGCTCATCTCCAAAATTATCTGCTATTTGCAGAGCTGCCCACTTTTCAGCTGCAGTGAGGGTTTGGTTTGGGAGCAGCATAACACCTTTCCATGTGAGGTGAAATACCTGAGTTGAATTGTGAAAAGTTTCTATATACCTATCAGGGTCATCAGAAAATCAGCCTAAGTTTCCCTTTATTTGCCTAGGGTCCTATTTGAGAAGGGAACTTGAACCCTCATTGCACCATTTCCATCAGGCATTTCCTGTAGAGGTAAGGGTGAAGTGGGGAAAGTGGGTAATAACGGAGGATGGTGGAGCTGGAGGAACTGATGGTACAATTGGATGGAGTTCTAAATGAGGGTAACTGGAAGGGTTGGGACATTCAATAGCTGTCTCAGATTGCTCCTATAAAATCTGCTTTAGCTCTGGGAAACTATTCCCTGTGGGCTTGCCTGCTATGGCTGCTAAAAGAACTGGGTTGCTCTTACAGTGCTTCCAAAGGTTTAGTAAAAATGCCATGCCCATGTGCAAAAGAAAATGAGTTGGTTTTCTCTTCAATGTCCTGAGGTCAAAGAAGTTCCAGTGTTTCAGGGTGCACTCCAGAGGGGTACAAGCTGAAGATAATCTGTTACCCATCTAGAAAGAGAAGCAAGAATAAAAGCATCCTTTTAGTCTCCTTCCTTTCTGTGTAACCCAGGGTGGAGAAGAAGACAGTGGAAGCGTCCTCCTGACTGTTTTCCCTCCCTGGTTCCTGGGTCCCGGCAGCCTGTTAAATGTGGTACCCATGGTTGTAAGCGGGACCCTCCAAGCCATAGAACTGGATGAACTAGGTGATGGGACTCATCACGCTTTACCCGTGCAACCTTAGCTTATTTGTCCTGTGTGATTCCCCTTTGGCTTACTAAACCTATGTGATCTGCCTGGTTCTCTCAAAAAATGGATCTTGGGAAAGACTATATAAAAGACTAGCCTCCTTTAATGGAGGGAATTTGCTAGAGTGCCTGCTATTATGGCCCGTTCTAAAGAATTTACCCTTAGAAAAATGGTTCTGGTTAACTTCTGTACTTAAAATCCCCTTACTGATTAAGTACTATCTTAATCAGAGAGAGAATAGGTGCCTTAAAGGGACACTGGGACCTAATGACGACTTTCCTGCTGATGGGACAGTGTTGGGACTAAAATTTGGCTGCAGAGGACGTTTTATTCCTAATAGTTGAAAGCAGAATTTTCCTTGTTCACAGAAGCAGCATAAAACCTGGTTTCCGGTAGAAAGGCATAAAAAGGAAAAATTGGAAGGCTGCAATGTACCGCAGAAAACCAGCACATGAGTCTTACGAAGAGGATTTCTATTTTTCACGAGGTGGTGATGTTGGCTTAGAAATACCATGTAATCACAAGCTGACTATTAGCGAGTAGCCACACTGTGGGGGAAACGGGAGGTCTCTGTTCCTACAAGATTGCAACAGCATTTGCCTAAGCTATATCCCTGGTTACTACAGAATTTCCTGATCTTGACTAACAGGATTACTTCCCTAGACTGTAAAAATTCCCACATATTCGACACACAGAGAGAGTAAGAGACTGTGGATAGAAAAAGAAGGAAAGTTTTGTGACAAGATAGCTGGGAATTCTTAACCAACACCCGGAGCAGACTGACTGAGGCTGGGTGCAGTACAGAAGCCTTTGAATAGCACCAGGGTATGCCCTGGCCAGCAATTCAGTTGCTTCAGTACTTTTCCAAGCCTCATGTAATGGCTAAGTTTCCCCAGGAAAAGAAACTGAGTCAAAACATGGCCAACATTCCCAATGACCCATGAGTAATGGAGGGTTCTCCATGTTCTTACTAGCAAACCTGACATCCAAGTCTTTATAACTGCAGCCACGATAAGCGTATTTTTAACCAGTTGACGGATTCCCATTAATTGATTTGATTTTGATTTTAAACTAGGAGCCAAGAGTGCCTCAGAATGATAGAACAGATTTTTAAGGTCCCTTCTATACTCACCACTCCAGTGAATGTTGTACCTTGGATTCCAGCCAATGCACCAAAATAATACGACTCTAATGACTGGAGAAACACTAGGGTCCTTTGTCTCACACCACTAAGAATAATGAAATGACGTACGTGGAGTGATTTTCAAGGAGCGGAAAGTTTAATAGGCAAGAACAAAGAAAGAAAGAAGAAAATCACTTCCCCCATACAGAGGGATAGAGGCTCTGAATGGATAAACCCCGCGTGTGGTGGAAAGCAGTCGGTTATATTGGGAGGCTGGAGGAGGCGATGTTGATTTACATAGGGCCCAGGGGATTGGTTTGAACCCGTGTGTCATTCACATAGCCCATGAAAAAATTGGCCCTCCCACCCTAGCCTTTTAATATGCAAATGTGGGTTGCCATGATGTCTTGCACACGTGGTGTTATCTGGGGGTGGCCATGACACCTGGCACACATGGTGACAAGAGAAGAGGGCGAGAACCGCCATGTTGGGTGGAACTGGTTTCTAGCCGCTGGCATTTGCATATCAATGCTTGCTGTTCTGGTTTTTCAAGCCACTTTCTGTTAGAAAGGAAATGGTTCAAGGCTTGCTTTTTATTAAAGGAAAATTCCACCAAGAACCACCCTTCCTAGCTACATAAAAGTTATTTCTTAATAACTCCTTTATTATTATTATGAAGGAGACATATTTATTTAGTAGTAAGATATTAGGAGAGGGGAATCATTCTATAGTCCTATGATTTTGTGTCAGTTTTTTAGTGACCCTGTGTCCCTGGGCTGTGACCTTCCAAATTGGTTCTAAGTTTTGTTTTGTCATTTAGGTGAGACAGCATGATGAAAGGGGGCTGAAAATGGGTATTTATCTTCCCCTACAGAGAATACTAGAGAGTGGCTGGAGTGTATATTTCTTCTTTCAGGTCAGTTAGGCTCTGGTAAAACTGCAGTTAGTCAACCTCTTGTAAATAGTTTCTCTTGATAGCCAGCATTTCTAAGAAGAACAGAATGCTCTGATTATATTTTTAAATGATTAATTTTTTTTCTGTCTACCAGAAGCATGAGGAGAATTTTCTAGGCTCTTCATTGTGAGAACTTGGTACAGCTCCTGGAGGTAAACTCACAAAACTGTAGATATTGCACTTCGGGAGGCCGAGGCGGGCGGATCACTAGGTCAGGAGATCGAGACCATCCTGGTTAACACGGTGAAACTCCATCTCTACTAAAAATACAAAAAATTAGCCGGGCATGGTGGTGGGCGCCTGTAGACCCAGCTACTCGGGAGGCTGAGGGAGGAGAATGGCGTGAACCCGGGAGGCGGAGCTTGCAGTGAGCCGAGATTGCGCCACTGCACTCCAGCCTGGGAGACAGAGCGAGACTCCGTCTTAAAAAAATAAAAAATAAAAATAAATAAATAAATAAATAAATAAATAAACAAACTGTAGATATTGCAAAGACTGGCCCCCTTTGAAGTTTTTTTAACGCAGGGTTGTCCACATTGAGCCTCCAGCAAGTCTTCAATTAACATTCAGGTTGTTCTATTTGGTACTGGTTCCTATGGAGTTTTCTGCTCCGGGGCTGCTTCTTTGGTAGCTGTGATTCTCTATATCAGCATGTCTGTTTCTTCCATTTGGGGAGCAATGGTTTCTACTATGATATCAATACTCTGATGAATTGAAGAAAATTTGTTGATTTCTAGTTAGTTCCACTTATTTTTGTTTTTATTTGTAAGGATGGGAGTGATTACTTCTAAGCTTTTTGCATGCCAGACCTGAAAGTGCTATTTAATTTTTATATTATGTATCTGCATATTTTTGTCATTGCCTCCTACCTATGTTTCAAATATGTTTTTACTGAGTATCTTTTATAGTTGAAATTTTATCCAGTAATAGTAATTTCACACATAATCACATACAACTTAAGAAAAAATACACAGTATGCCATGTACATATTTACCCATCAATGGTGATATTCTGCAAAATAATAATGCAATATCACAATATCACAACATCACAATATCAAAGAACCAGCTTTTTGTTTCATTTATTCTCTATTGTTTTCCTGCTTCCAATTTCGTTGGTTTCTGGTAAGATTTGTATTACACTTATATATGCCTGCTGTAGATTTACTTTACTCTTTATTTCTAGAATTTTGAGACAGTAACTTAGATTATTGATCTGAGACGTATCTAGTTTTCTAATGTAAACAGTTTTGTAGTGTTTTTATGGTGATTGCTCTAGGTATTATAGTACACCTATGTGACTTATCACAACCTACGGGGAGCAACATTTTAACACTGAGCAAAGCAGAAGAATCTTACTTCCATTAAGGTCTATTCACTTTCCCCATTTAAAATATCATAGTCTTGAGTATCAAATGGTCTTTTTTCAATTATCAAATATAATTTATAAAATTCATAACAAAATGAATACTTTTTTTGGTACCCCTATTTCTGCTATTTCTTTTGTGTTTCTTGTTCTGGTCTTCTGCTTGAAGATTGCTTCTTTTATTATTTCCTTCCCGTTAGAAGAAATTTTTGTGAATGTTATTTAAAGATAAGTATGTTAGCAACAAATTATTTTTATTTCATTTGACAATGTCTTTATTTCCACTTCATGCTTGGAGGATAATTTGCCAAATATGACATTTGTGATTGATAGTGAATTTCTTTCAGCCCTTTAAATTGTTGTGCCTTTTCCTTTTGCCCTCAATTATCCAGTGTCATTTGACTTAGTGTTCCCCTGTAGTTTCCATGTCATTTCCTTCTGTCTGCGTCCAAGGTATTTTCTTGGCTTTTAGTTTTGAGTAATTTAATTAAAATGTGTCTTGGCATAAAGTTCTTTGGGTTTATTTATACTATTTCAGATTCACTCAAATTCTTAATTAGGTACATTTATGTCTTTCATCAAACTTGGGTAGTTTTCAAGCATCATTTTTTTGAATTATCTTTGAGCTCCACTCTCTTACTCCTGTCTTTTGTGGACTTTGATTATATGAACACTACATCATCTGGTATTGTCCCATGTGAATTTGGGGCTCTGTTAATATTTTAAATCTATTTCCACTATTGTGCAGATTGACTTAATTTTATTGATCTGTCTACAAGTTGACAGATCCTACCATCTATCTTCTCCAGTTTACCAGTTATCTTCAGTTTTATTTTATTCTATCTGTCAAATAATTGTATATATTTATGGGGTACAATGTGGTGAAAAAACAACTAACATAATGAATAAAAAACCTCACAGATTTGGAGAAAACATTAGGAAATCATACATCAGGTAAGGAGCTAATATCCAAAATATATAGAGACTCAAACTACTCAATAACAAGAAAAAAAGCTGTATTTAAAAATGAGCAAAAGACCTGAATAGACATTTCTCAAAAGAAGACATACAAATGGCCAAAAGATGTATGAAAAATTGCTCAACATCAGTAATTATCAGGGAAATGTAAATTAAAATTGTTATGGAATATTACCTCACACGTGTCAGATTTGTTACGACCATAAAAAATTCACCAAGTTTTTTTTTCTTTAACTTACTGCAATATACCTCTATAATTTTAATTTGGTTATTTTTTATATTCATATAAAAAGTATTTATATTTATAGGTGCTTATTAAGGCACTTTTAAGATAGCTGCTTTACAATTCTTGTCAGATATTTCTCAAATCTAATTTATCTCAGTGTTGGCATCAGTTTCATTTATTTTCTTGCTTCTTGATTTAATGTTTGATCCTTTTGTTGTGTCCTGGACATTTTGTCTATTATGTTGGGAGACTATGTCCTATTTAAATCTTTTATTTTAGCAAGAATTCACTCTGTCTAAATTTCATATGCATGTTCCATATTACTTTTGTCAGCAGTGATTTAATCGATGATTTGATTTTCAGAGTCATTGTGGTGTTATTTGAGGCTAGATGGCTTATATGGTGCTACTATGGCTGCTACTGGTTATTGCTGGTACTGACTAAGGGTACAGAAGGGATTTCCCTAGGCTGAGTTACTGGATGTCTCTCCAGGAGTCAGGGAGTCACAGGCAAACATGTAATGTAAAGAAGCTTTCCTTGCCAGGTACTTGTTGTGACAGAGCCTCTTCTGAATGTGAGAAATGGAAATTGCTTTTTGACCAGGGTATTTGTTGTGCAGGGATTCCTATGGGCAGAAAAGGGAACTCTCAGAGACGCTGGGATAAACAGGCCTAGAGGCAACCCTGGATGAACCATTATTGTGGCTGGGTTACTGGTGGTCCCTGGCCATTCAGTGCTTCCCATTGAGTGAAGGCAAAAGAGTATGAGGACTGTGGGTACAAAGAGGCTTCCTGAAACAGGTAGCACATTGTGGTCAGATATCTCTTGCCAGTTCTGCCTGCTCATTTCAGTATCTCTCATGGGTGAGGGGAGTGTCAGGATCAACAGTGAAAGAGAACACTTTCGCTGGCCTCCTCTTGTTACCAGGGCTCAAAATAATTCCTCTTGTCAGGCTTTCCTGACATCATAGGTCTCTCTTTTATTCTAGGAGAGGAATAAGACTACCTGTGATGGCAACTGCTGCTGTGTTGGAAATCAGGAAATGCTGGGCTTGGGATGCTTCTTTCTGTTAAGTGGGAGGATATAAGGAACCCTGCAGTTTTCCACCTTCTTGCTATTATTCAGAGCTCTCCTCTTACGTGTTTCTAGATGTATCATGTGTTATTTTTACAGTTGTGCTTAGATGGAGGATTGGAGAGAAGCATATCTCTGCCAAATTATTTTATTTTAGAACAGTTTAACATTTACAGAATAATTATGAATACAGTATAGAAAGTTCCTATATACCTCACACCCAATTTCTTCTATTATTAACATAATATGTAGTATTGTACATTTGTCAATACTGATAAATTATTAATGAGTCAATACTGATAAATTATTATTAATTAGACTCTATATTTTATTTGTATTTCCTCACTCATGCATTTTCTCATTTGCCCTTTCTGGTTCCAAGATCCTATCTAGGATGCTACATTACATTTAGTAGTTATGCATGTCTCCTTAGATTCCTTTGGTTGTGGCAATGTTTCAGACTTATCTTTTTTTTTTGTTATGGCTTTCATCATTGTGAGGATAGGCAGGTACTGCGTAGCATGTTCCTCAGTTGAAAATTGTCTGATGTTTTCTTTGTGATCTTACTGAAGTAATACCTTTTTGCTACCATGGTGTTAAAGCACTATTCTTATCACATCACATTTACATACTATTGATACGAGAGGAGGGCAGAGAAGTGCTGGGCAAAGAAGTGTACGGTCCCTTGCAAGGGCTCCACCCTCAGGCCTGTGCCTACGAACCTAAGTGTGAACAGGCACTCCTGTTTTTGCACCCAAATGCTGCATTTTCCAAGACCACTCTGGTCGGCACACTCCCCATCCTGTGCCCATAAAAAACCGAGACCTTTGCAGGCAAATACAAGCAGCTGGACATCTATCTAGAGGAGCAGAGGAACACACAAGCAGACACCAGCAGACCAGTGACGGTGGGACAACACAGACACGGAGGGACTTTCGGCTCGGGGCAGTCAGAGAACAGTCTGGCCTCTGGGCAGCCCAGCTCCAGGAGAAGACCGCCTTCTCACAACATCCCCCTTCCAGCTTATCATCCACCTCACTGAGAGCCACCTCCACACTCAATAAAACAATAAAACCTTGCACTCATCCTCCAAGCCCATCTGTGTTTCTATTTTTCTGGTACACAAGCAAGAGCTCAGAATACACAAAGCCCTCTGCCCTTGCAATAAGGCAGAGGGTCTAATTGAGCTGACTCACACAAGCCGTCTGAAAATGGCAAAGCTGAAAGAGCACACTGTAACACACACCCACTTCGGCTTCGGGAGTCATAAACACTCATCCTAGACACTGCCGTGGGGTCGGAACCCAAAAGCGCTCCCCAAGACCTCTACACCCACCCGTCTGCATGCTCCCCCTAGGGGTTTGAGCAGCAGGGCACTGAAGAAGTGAGCCACATCTCTGTTGCGTGCCCAGGGAAGGGGATAAGGGAACTCTCCCATATCATTATCAGTATGACTTCTCATATTTAATATTAACCTGAATCTCCTGGATTGTGTTAGTGTTTTTCAGGTCTCTCCACTGCAAAGTTACTTTTTTTTCTCTTACTCTCTATCTTCATACTGTACTCTTTAGAAGAAAGTTGCTATGCATGAAATATCTACCTAAATTATTGGAAATTCTACTTGGAATATATGTGTGTTCTTCCCAAAATATTTATTTATTTAATCACTGGTTTACATAACTATGGACTGATGAATACCTATTTCATACTTTCAGTTATAACCAAATATAACTTTATTTATTTTGTTGCTTAAATTGTTCCAGCTTTAGCCATTTAGAGCTTTTTCAGTTGTTTCCTGTTTCCTTTAGACATACCCTCCATGAGTTGTGTTTGTGTGTACGTGTGTATTTGTGTAAGGTATAAGGTTGGCGTGCATGTTTTTGTTTTTCTTTCATATGGGTGTACAATTCTTCCAGCCTCCATTGTTTAAAAAACTATCCTTACTCCATTGAATTGCCTTTGGTTTTTATCAAAGATCAATTGACTATGTTTTTGTGGGTCTGTATATGGGATGCCTATACTTTTTTATTGATCTATTTTCCTATTCTTTTGTCAATACAGTGTAGCCTTAGAGTAGGTCTTGAAATTAAGTGGCGTAAGTCTTCCAACTTAGTTCTTCTTCAGTATTGTGTTGGATGTTCTAGATTGTTTCCATTTTTATACAAACTTTGCAATTACTATATCAATATTTACACACCAGTTTGCTGTAATTTTGATTAGGATTTTGATGTGGTTTGGCTCTGTGTTACCACTCAAATCTCATGTTGAATTGTAATCCCCATGTGTCAGGGGAGGAACCTGATGGGAGGTGATTGCATCATGGGGGCAGATTTCTTTTATGCTCTTCTTGCGACAATGAGTGAGTTCTCAAGAGAACTGATGGTTTAAAAGTGTGATACTTCCCCCCTTGCTCTCTCTCTGTCTGCTGCTCCACCATGGTAAGACATGCTTGCTACCCCTTTGTCTTCTGCCATGATTGTAAGTTTCCTGAGGCCTCCCAGTCATACTTCCTGTTAAGCCGGTAGAACTGTGAGTCAATTAAACCTCTTTTCTTCATAAATTACCCAGTCTTGGGTAGTTTATAGCAGTGTGAGAACAGTGGAATACAGATTGTGTAGGTCAAGTTGGAATTAATTTATATTTTAACAATAAGGCATCTTCCAAATTAGGAAAATGGAATTTCTATCTATTTAGTTATTTTATTTTTTTATCCGTGTTTTTTTAGTTTTCTGTATATAGGCTCTGTACATATTTTGTTTGATTTATACTTAAGTATTTCTTATTCAGGATGCCATTATAAGTGGTATTATTTTATTTAAATTGAAAATTTGAATTGTTCATGGCTGGAATATATAAAAGCAATTGACTTTCATATATTAATCTTGTATCTTGAGACATTGCTATACTTACTTCAAGGAGTTCTTTGGTTGATTATTTAAAAATGGCATCTGCAAATACAGATAGTTTTATATCTCTCTTTCCAATTGTAATATGTTTTATTTCCTTTTTTGTCTTATTGCACTAATTATAAATTCTGGTACATTATGAATAGGAGTGGAAAGAGAGGATATTCTTACCTTGTTCCAGATTTTAGAGGATACATGTCCAGTTTCTTACTATTAAGTATGATGTCAGCTACATATTTTTTAGATGTTCTTTATAAAATTGATGACATTCCCTTTTATTTCCAGTTTACTGAGGTTTTTGTCATAGATATGTATTGGATTTTGTCAAATGATTTTTCCGCATCATTTGATATAATTATATATTTTTTCTTTTTTAATCTATGAATGTGGTGGATTATATTAATTGATGCTTGCATGTTGAAAACAGTCAGTATATGAGATTCATAAGTGAATTTTTGGGTCATGTATTGGTATGAGCTGAATTATGCCGCCCCCCCACCCCAATTAATATGTTGGTACTCTAATCCCCAAAACCTCAAAATAAGACTTTACTTAGTGATAGAGCCTTTAAATTGGTAAATAAGTTAAAATCATTTTTATTACAGTGAGACCTAATTTAATATAATGGATGTCCTCTTAAAAAGACAAGAACAGAACACAGAAAGATACACCAGACACATACATACATAAGAACATAATCATATGAACCCACAGCAAGAAGGCAGCCATATTCAAGCCACGGAGAGAGGCCTCAGAAGGAATCAAACTTGCTAACACCTTGATCTCAGACTTCTGGACTTCATAACTGTTAGAAAATTAATTTGTTATTTAAACCATAGTCTTACCCAATCTGTGGTGTTTTGTTATGAGAGTCCCAACAAATTAATAGTGTTATGTATTCTGGTGGTTGTTCTTTGGCTTCCTGATTCAGTAGTTATGTGTTTGTTATTAAATAAGAAAAGTTCTCCAGTCATTTTTATTTCAAATACTTCTTCTGATCTTTTCTCTTTCAAATATTCCAATTACATTTTGTAATTTTACCATGATTCTTGGATGTTCTTTTTTGGTTTGGCTTGATTTTACTTTGCTTTTATTTATTTTACTTTTTTTCCATTTTAGTTTGATAACTAAAGTTTATCTTTACCTGTCATCAAACTCACTGGTTCTTTACTCACTCATGTCAAGTCTACTGAGTAATACGGGGTCACAGGCTCTGCTTCCTGCACTCAGTTACAGTACTACCCAGCTGCCTGAGTTCTAGCTATAGTAGGCCCCAGTACAGCAATGTCCTATGCCCAGGAAAGCTGTAAGAGCACAGAAGCCTCTACCTAGATATGAAAGAATGTCCCGGAGAGCTGAGCTGCAGGGAACCAGGCAGAAAAGCATAACGTGGAGTGGGATCACCAGCAGAGATCCTTCACTGGAAAATGACCATCTGAGACTTGTAGCAGGACCTCCCCTCACAAACCACAGACTTTTAGGGTCATAGCTGTATGATCTGTGGTGTGGGCTTTTCCAAAAAAAGCTATGGGGATGAGGCTGCTTAAAGCCTTGGGGGCCTAACTTTTCTAGGGAAAAGATGCAGGGGCATCACCTTTTCCTGAATGTGTCCTGAAGGCAGGGCCTTCTCCTGAGTGACATTGAGACAAAGAAAATTACTCTGGAAACTTTAGAGGTAATAGTGTTTGCCTTGTTGGGTTTTAGACTTGCTTGGGACCTGTCACGCTTTTTTACTTATTTGTTCCTATTGGAATAGAAATGTCTGTCTTGTGCCTGTCCCATCATTGTATTTTGGACGCAGATAATATGTTTAATTTTACAGACTCACAGTTGGAAGGAAATATCTGATTTAGATACTACTTAGATAAGATGTTGGACTTTAGACTTTTGAGTTTATGCCTGACAAAATACTAGGCAAAAATCAATAAAGATAAAGATGACCTCAATAGCACTTTCAACTACCCTGACCTATTTCAGATTTATAGGACACTTTCTAATAATAGCAGAATATATATTTTTCTCAAAGCAACGATCACCAAGCAGTACACATTCAGTACCATTAAAACAATTTAGCTAATTTTAAATAATATAAATAATACACAGCATGCCCTAGACAACAACAGAATTAAACTAAAAGTCAATATTATAAATATAATTGGAAAATCCAAAAATATTTCTGAATAATTTAGAACACTTCTAAATAGTATATGAGTCAATAAGGAAGTCCCAAAAACAATACAAAAAGATTTTGAACTGAAATGAAGTGAAAATACAACATAGCATTTTTTTGATGCCCCTAAAGCAGTGTTTAGAGGGATATTTCTAGGAATACATGTTTATGGTAGAAATTAAGAACTAAATGAAACTAGTAACAAGCTTTCATCTTTAAAATAAATAACAAATTAAAACAAAAGCAGAATCAAGTAAATAATAATTTTAAAGGTATAAAATAGAAATCAATGAAATTAAAACAAAAAACGCAGGTGTCATATATCAAACAAACAAAAAACCTGGCTGTCTGTAAATATCATTAAAATTAGCCAAATCCAAACTATACTAAGAAATAATTGACAACATTAACATTACCAATATTAGAAAATAACGAGAAAACATGGTGCTTGGCCTCACCAACACTGAAAAAATCCAACTTTCAAATAACTTTATGCCCATACATTTGACAACATAGGGGACATAGAGTAGTTCCAAGATATACACTACCTATCAAAACTCGTTTTAAGAATAGAAACTCTAAATAACCCCATATCTTTTAAATAATTAGAGCTTGTATGTAACACCTTGAAACAAAGAAGAAAGAAAACAGTAATCTCCAGATCCTGAAGGTTTCACTAGTTGATATTGCCAAATACTTAAGGAAGCATTAAATACCACATGTCTTTTTCAGAAACTAGCAGAGTAAGAAATATTTTCCAACTCATTATGAGCCCAGCATTACACTGATAATTAAACCACAAACAAATACAATATTATGATAAAGAAGACTATAGACAAATATACTCATGAACATAGGAGAATCTCAACAAAATAGTAGCAAATTGAATGCAGCAATATATAAAATGTCTAATACATAATTACACAGTAGGATCCAGCCAAATGATAATACTTTCTGTATTTTAAAAATCAGCCTCTATTAATAGTCTAAAGAAGAAAAAAGTTGTATGGCCGCATCAATAAATGCAGGGAAAGCAGTACACAAAATTGAATATCCAACCATGATCTAAATTCTCAATAGTTTAAGGAAGAAGGGAACTTAAACCTAAAAAAGATTACCTGCAGAAAGCCAATAGTTAGCTATTGTTATCTAGTAGCCAATATCTGGTTATTGTTTGTTGATGGTTAGCCAATAGTTAGCTATATATCACAATTACTGGTGCGAGACTGAATGCTTTTCCCTTAAAATTGAAAGCAACTCAATTGCAGATCTCAAGTCTAAATACCCCTATTTAGAATAATATTTTAAGTTATAGCTAGTGCAACAAGAAAAGGACGTAAAAGACATACTGTTCAGAAAAGAAGGAAAACAAAAACTCTCTATTCACCAACAGCATAATTGCTATAGAGAGTCATTTTTTATAAACTACAAAAACCACTCTTAGAACTAAGAAGTCATTGTGGAAAATTTGCAGGATACAAGGTCAGTATACAAAAGTCAGTCATATTGCTATATAATGACAGTAAACAATTGGAATTGGAATTTTAAATATCTTAAAAATGTTGGAACTCCATTTTATTTCACATGCAAAAATTAACTCACAATGGATCAAATCCTCAAATGTAAGAGCTAAACTATAAAACCCTTAGATCAAATACATGTAAAATTTGATGACATTGGGTTAGGCAATGACACCAAAAGCACATAAACAATAACAAAAAAGATGAACTTCATAAAATTAAAAGATTTATACTGCAAAAGATACTGTCAGGAAATAAAAAGACAACCCAGAGGATAGAAAAAATATTTAAAGTTATATTT
Organism: Homo sapiens; assembly: GCF_000001405.40. Lineage (NCBI taxonomy): Eukaryota > Metazoa > Chordata > Mammalia > Primates > Hominidae > Homo > Homo sapiens. The sequence goes on from NC_000023.11 coordinate 89,773,931, forward strand.
CTCATAAAGGACATATGTTTAAAATGCATAAACACCTCCAATTCAATAATAAAAAGCAGGTAGCACAGTTAAAAATAGTTAAAGAATCTGATTGCACATTTCATCAAATAGGATTCAAAAATGGCCAATAAGCACATGAAAAGATGTTTCACATTATTGACCACCATACAAATGCAAATCAAAACCACAATGAGATAGCACTTCATGCCCACTAGGATGATTACAATAAAAAAGATAGTTAATAAAAGTGTTAGTGTGGATGTGGAAAAACTGAAACCATCATATATTTCTGGTGAAAAACTGCTTGGCAAATTCTCAGAGAGTTAAGCATGGCATTTGCATATGACCCAGCAATCGTACTCCCAGACAAATACCAAAGTGAAATGAAAATATATGTCCATGCAAAAATTTCTATGCAAGTGTTTGTAGAAGCATTAATCATAATTGCCAAAGAGTGGGCACAACTCATTATACATCAACTGAAACATGTTTAAACAAAATGTGATATATTCATATAATGAAATATTATTCAGCCATAGGAAGAAATGAAGGTGGAAAATGAACAACAAATGTGTGCACAATATTTTGTTTCACATAATTCTTTTAGAAATATTGAAAGTATATATGACAGACTATAGCCACTTATTATAGCCCATTCATAGGAACATGCTATTTTATTCTCTGTAATTTTAGTAGATTTGGAATGCATTTTAAGCATTTTTAAAGATATTATTATCTTGTCAATTTTTTAGAAATAAACTATTAGCTTGAGGAAAACATTAGTATTTATTTATTTATTTTCTTGCCAAGGACCTTGCATTCTTTTAAAAACATATTTGTAGCTGTTAATAAAAGAAATTAATTTGAAATTTAGCTGGCCAAAAATATGCCAGTGCCTTTTGAATATTATTTAAATATATATAAATTAAGGAATTTTTACAAATACATTTTTCAAAATTTTTATTTTAACTTTCTAAACAGAACTCACTCTCAAAGCTTATGACTAAAATTCAAATGCAGTTTTAATCATTTTGATCATTATTCTGTGGCAAATATTATAATTTATTCTGTTTTAAGAATTTATAATATTATCTTTAAATTAAATCTAGCACTGCCTTTACAAATGTTATACACAACACTTAAACTTCCTAGATAGTGGTTCTGGCATATAACCACCTAGACAAATGTTTGGGTCCTTATTTTCTGTAAGTTACTCAGAATATAGATGCATATTTTATCCCCCTAGAATTAATTTATCCAAATTAATCCTTTCCAAATGTATGACTCTTCTTATTTTTGGCTTCTGTAATTTCAATTAATTATTTCCAGAGTTACCTTCAAATACTAGCTGAAACTATAGCAAGTGCATATGTTCTCTGATTTGTCTTTCTGTGTTGGCTGCAATTAACCTGGTTAATGTCCAATACTAAAACTGTTTATAATCAATTTCAAGAACAAAACACAATATTTAGCATCAATTTTAAGAGCAAAATTAATAATATTAGTAAAAATACTATCACGAAAGTTTGCATATATTGCATTAATGCACAAATGTGAGTGCTCACCAGGTGCCAGACATTATGCTGTATATGCTGATGCTCATCTAATTTAAATTACAGTTATAATTATCCTGTTGTATCGATGTTGTTTTTTCTCACTTTAAAGTTGAGGAAGTGAGGTCTTATTTTAAGCCTTACTTAGAACGGATTGACTTAGGAATTTTTGAGTTTACAATGGTGGGAAAGCAATACACATTCAATAGAAACTATACTTTGAATTTTGATCTTTTCCCAGTCTAGCAATATGCAGCATCATACTCTATTGTGATACTGGGCAGGGGCTGAGAGCCACAGTTCCCAGATAGCCATGTGATCATCAGGTTAAATAACCGCTACAGTATACTGTGTTGCCAGTGGTTTTGGGATATTGTGTTTTGTGTTTTTGCATCCCATCATATGTACAAAATGTCCATCTGTGTCTCATGCTTTTCCTGGTGAGAAGAAGAAGAAGGCAATTACTCTTGAGGTGAAACAATGTAATTGCTCAGCACAAAGTGGGCAAGCCAGTAGTGGCCATTGCACATGAGTTAGGACTTCCACAATCCACAATCCTGATTATCTTATCTTGTAAGTCAATGCATTTTGACTTAAAATATTTTAATTTAGGATGGGTTTATTGGAATGTAACCCCATCATAATTCGAAAAACCTCTGTAATTGAAAACATTACAGTTTAATCTTAGATATGTCTAATTTAGAGCTAGATCGCTTTACCACAAGAATGTGTTCACATTAATGGAAATATTTTCCTTTGATTTTTAATTTTGTTAAAAATAAATAAATCAAAAGTTATTTCTGTACATATCAAGAACTTTCCATGTCTATGTGCCTTGATTAGTTTGACCACTTGCTCAAGAAAATAGCAAATATGTCAGTTAAATAATACCTCCCACAAAATTTCATTTCTTTAAAAAATATGTAGAATCTCTTTGGATTGGTTGAGATTGCAAAAACATTTTGAGAAAGTTCCATATTTTCTAAGTCATTTATAATAGTGTCCTGCAATTTTGTTTTCTGCCACAAATTGATCAGGGCCACACTGTACAAACTCAAGTAACAGTTACCACTCAAAAAAATAAATCCACATTGGCAGGTGATTTTGTTTTGTTTTTTTAACAATTGTAATAGAAATTTTATCAATAGGTTTTAAAAATTACCTCCCTTAAATGCTAAATGTTCAAAAATATCAGTGTTCCACATGCTGATTTATGCTAGCAAAAATATTGCTGTCCATCTTGATTAACTAGTTTAGAACTGCATTTAGGAAAACATTAGTCACTAGCTACATGTGGCTATTGAGAACTTGCAAGGTTGGTAATCCAAATAAGGATGTGCTGTAATTGTAAAATACCAGATTTTAACAATTTAGGATGTAAAAACTTAAAATTTCTTACTAATATTTTCATAATTATTACTTACTAAATGATAATATCATAAACATATTGGGTTAACAAAAACATATTAATACAATTTTTACTTTTTTCCTTTACATAGTTAAATGTAACTACTAGAAAATCTAAAACTGTCATATTTCCATTGGACAGCATTTGAGTGTTGAAATTATTGAATAATCTCATATTATGATTCTGAAATATAGATGTACTTTTTCTTACCTTCTATTTCTTGAATCATAGATGTAAAAAAATTTTTATGCTTAAAATTTGAATAAGTGGTTTTTAGTTATTGATTAATCTATATAGGTCAACAAAAGCTGAAGGCATTTTGGTTTAAAATATAAACTTTTGACAATTTGGTGATTGCTTGTAATTGGTCTACCTCAATGTGTTTGTATGCATATATACACAATGCACCGCTTAACTGTTCAATTTAGTCAGTTTTTAATATAATACTTAGTTTCATTAAGAAGGAAGTATTTCAAGTTGCTCATTGCTGTTCAGAAATGTTAGTCTATCACTAATATAAATATTTTACACATATGGACTACAACACTTTAGATAAACATTCATTACAAATTAATTGAAATGATTTTGGGTGTTTTACTATTAGTCATTGATAGAATAAAATAAACAACGTATTTCTCAAAAACAATCTGAGTACTATCTGGAAGTAGTGACAGTCATACATTTAGTGGTTTCAATTTCCTTTCAAAATTATTCAGAAAAAATCACTTATACAATTGCCTAAAAAAAACTAAAATTAAAAAAGGAAAAGAAAATATTGGGAAGATCTGTCTATATTAATTCTGTGACTCTCAAATTTTTTGAAGCCATAGAATAGATTCATTTGAAAAGCATATTTTTGAGCTGCTTTTAGACTTTAAGTAAGAATATCTCAATATTAATATATGGGATGCATTGAAAATTTCAGAAAAATTATAATGAATAAGTGAGATGGAAGTCAATGATGGCTTTAAATACATAAGAAATAAAATTGCAACAGATTACTTTAGAAAATATTTTATTTCAGCCTAAACACTTATATGAAAACCCTACAAAACAGACCAAAAAGGGGAAGCTACCTATATTACTGAGACAAATATCATGTATGTTTTTATATGTGCTCTGAAGAGGATCCTTATTGCCTGTCACTGCTTGACTGAGGCTGCTGAAAATCAAATACAAAACCTCATCCTTTGAGTGTGTGAATTACAATACAGGTTGAACTCAAAGCCTCACAGCATGTCTACTGTTAAAGTAAAGTGAGGGCTTAGATTAGGAAAGAATGGGACATTGAATGTTAGAATGGTGGAGTGTGAAAAGACCCTGATAAAGCTGGGGAGATGAGGCCCTCAATTTTGATGAGTCTTCTTTGCCAGTGGAAGAGACTTTCTGACACCATTGGAAGCAGCCACCTCAGCCTCAGTAGTAGTGGCTTCCTCACCCCAAGTGGTAGTGGCCTTTACACCCCTTTCTGAGGGATTTAATCCTGCATTGCCTGAGGAAATTATAATGGACTCTCTGTAATCAGTGCCATGTAACACAATGTTGATTCTTCTCAGAACTCATTCCGCCACCCTTACCTGCTTCTAGATTTATAACCAGACTCCAGTCCCGGCAGGCCCCAAAAAGTGAGACACAAAGTGTGACCTTTGAGGAAGTACACTACATTTCAGAAAACTTACTTGAGTTTTCCAATTTATACAGACATAAATACAAGGAATATGTGTGGAAATGGATATTAAAGGTGTGGGATAATGGAGGAAGAAATATAAAGTTTGAACAGACTAAATGTATTGATATGGGCTCATTAAGTAGAGATTCCACATTTAATGCTGTGAATCAGAGAGTTATAAAGTACTTTCACAGTTTATTTGGTTGGTTGACTGAAGCATGAACCAAAAGATAGCCTACAGTGAGTGAATTGGAAATTCCCAACCTGCCTAAGTTAAATATAGATAAAGTGGTTGAAAAGCTTAGGCATATTGCAGAGTAGGCCTTTATTCATAAAATTAAGACTTAGTTAACATGACCGAGAGTTTCCAGTAGACACATCTCTCACCACTACTGTAAGAAATAGATCTGTGAGAGGAGGCTTGGAATTTTTGAGCAGCTCTGTGTTCACTTTTCTCTGTAGGCCAGACCTTATCCTGGGGACTGCAGTCCCCGAATTGGGAAAACTAAATGCAATGGCAGTAATTAGATCTCTGGGTGGCAGGGATCACATGACAGCACTCAGCTACTAAAGGCAGTGGGGTTATGTTTCTCATAATGGATAGCAGAGTCAAAGCAGTAATCAAAAGAATCTGACTCATAGACCTATGGTGTTGGCTAGTTGATCATGGTGTTGCCAGAAGTGAAATAGACAGGAAGTCTGCTACATTCTTATTTAATCTGCATGAGCAGAAAATACTACTCAAGTGAGAAAAAGTCTAACTTGAATAAAAAAAAAAACAGTCAACCCCTTTAATTAATCCCCAGACTTGATCCAATTCACAGACTCAGAACCCCTTGAATAAAAGGGAGACTGTGACTTCTCCAGGAAGGACTCGCGTACACTGTCAAAAATTTATACTGTTTATCTCCCCACCGGCATTTTTGAAAGGATCCTAAAGACTTACCAGAATGCTATGGTTTGAATGTGTCCCCTCTAAAAATCAGGTTTGGGCAATTATTAAGTAGTGAGACCTTTAAGAGATCACTAGGCCATGAAGGCTGCTCTTTTTCTCATTAACGACATTAAGGTCCTTGTAAAAGAGGCTTCACAAAGCATTCGGCTAGTGTGCTCTTCTGCCTTCTACTATGTGAAGTCACAGCAAGAAGCCCCTCAACAGACCAAATGCTGGTGCCTTGATTTTGAACTTCCCAGCGTTCAGAACCATGAGAAAAAGTTTCTGATTTTTATGAATTACCTAGTCTCAGGTATAATATTGTAGCAGCACAAAATTTACTGAGAAAGAAATTGGTACTATAGGAGTAGGACATTCCTAAAACAAATACCTCATTTATGCTGATGTGATTATTATGCATTGTATGCCTGTATCAAACTATCTTATGCACCCCATAAATATATACATAAATATATATACCTACTATGTACCTACAAATTTTTTTTTTAAAAAACATGTGGAAGCAGGTTGGGAATAAAGTAATGGACAGAGTCTGTAACAGTATTGAAGTGAAGACTTAGAAAAGTTTGTATTGCTATAAATGAAGTACTAAGGGTGATTCTGTTGAGGGCTTGTATTAGTCCATTCTCATACTGCTAATAAAGATGTACCGAAGACTGGGTAGTTTATCAAGAAAAGAGGTTTAATTGACTCATAGTTTCACATGGCTGGGGGGCCTCAGGAAACTTATAATCATGGCAGAAGGTACCTCTTTACAAGGTGGCAGGAGAGAGAATCAGTGCTGAGCTAAGGGGAAAGCTCCTTATAAAACCATCAGATCTCATGAGAACTCACTATCACGAGAACAGCATGAGGGAAGCCGCCCCCATGATTCAATTATCTCCATCTGGTCCTGCTCTTGACATGTGGGGATTATAACAATTCACGGTGAAATTTGTGTGGGGACACAGAGCCAAACGATATAATTCCATCCCTGGCCCCTCCCAAATCTCGTGTCTTCACTTTTCAAAACAAAATCATGCCCTTCCAACAGTCCCCCAGTGGACTTGTGATGATCAATCTTATGTGTCAACTTGACCACAAGGTGGCAGATATTAGATTCAACATTATTCTGCATGTGTCAGTGAGGGTGTTTCTGGATGAGATCAGCATTAGAATGGTAGACTGAGTAAAACGGGTTGCCTTTCCCAATGTAGGCAGGTTGCATCCAATCTGTTGAAGGCTTGAATGGATCAAAATGATTAAGAGAGAAATTAGTTTCTCTGCCTGTCTTTCATCTGAGATTTTCTTCTCCTGCCTTCATACTCAGACTTGAAGTGGAACTTATGTTACTTGTTTTCTTGGTTCTCAGGACTTCAGACTCAGACTGAAGCTATACCATCAGCTTCCCTTGGTACGTAGCTTGCTGACTGCAGACCTTGGGATTTATCCAATTAGTAGCAACATGAGATAATTCCTAATAACAAACTCTCTCTCTCTCTCTCTCACTCTTTCATATAAATGGACTAAACTTTCCAATCGAAAGACCTAGACTGGCTGAATGGATGAAAAAACAAAACCCACTAATCTGTTGCATACAAGAAAAATACTTCACCTATAAAGACACACATAGACTGAAAGTAAAGGGATGGGAAAAACATTCTATGCCAATGGAAAACTGAAAAAAGCAATAGTCGCTATATTATATCAGACAAAATAGTTTTCAAGACAAAAACTATAAGAAGGGACAAAGCAGGTAACTGTACAATTTATACAGTTTATAGTATAGGGGTCAATTCAGCAAGAGAATATAACAATTTTAAATATATATGCACCCAACATTATAGCACCCAGCTATCAAAGGAAATATTATTAGAGCTAAAGAGAGAAATAGGCCCGAATACAATAATAGTTGGAGACTTCAACAACCCACTTTTAGGATTGGACAGATCTGCCAGACAGAGAATCCACAAAGAAACAAACATTAACAAAGACTTAATCTGCACTATAGACCAAATGGATTTAACAGATATTTACAGAGTATTTTATTGAAGAGCTTCAGAATACACATTCTTTTTCTCAGCACATGGATCATTCTCAAGAATAGACCATATGTTAGGTCAAAAAACAAGTCTTAAAATGTTAAAAAATTGAAATAATATCAAATATCTTCCCTAACCACAATAGAAAAAAGCTAGAAATTAATAACAGGATGGACCTTTAAAACTATACAATTACCTGGAAATTAAACAATATTCTCCTGAATGACCAGTGGGTCAATGAAGAAATTAAGAAGAAAATTTGAAATGTTTTAAAACAAATGATAATAAAAACACAACATACCAACTTTTATGGGATACAGCAAAAGCAGTACTCAGAGGGAAGTTTATAGCTATAAGTGCTTACATCAAAACAAAGAAAAAACTTCAAATAAACAATCTAACAATACATCTTAAAGAACTAGAAAAGCAAGAGCAAGTCATACTTAAAATTAGTAAAAGAAAATAATAAAGATCAAAGCAAAAATAAATAAAATTATAATGAAGAAAACAATACAAAAGACTAATGAAAGAAAAAGTTGTTTTTTAAAAAAAGTTAAACAAAACTGACAAATCTTTAGCCAGGCTAAGAAAAAAGAGAGAAGATCCATATAACATCAGAAATGAAAACAGAGACATTGCAACTAATACAACAGAAATTCAAAGGATCATAAGTGGCTACTAAGAGCAACTATATGCCAATAAAGTGGATAATCTAGAAGACAATACATAAATTCCTAGATACATACAACCTAAAAAAATTGAACTGGGAAAAAACCTAAAACCTGAACAGACCAATATCAAGTAATCAGATTAAAGTCATAATAAAAATTCTTCCCTAAATAAATACTCAGGACCTGATGGCTTTACTGCTGGATTATACCAAACACTTAAACAATACCAATCCTACTGAAACTCTTCTGAAAAATAGAAGAGGAGGGAATACTTTCAAACCCATTCTACAAGGTCAGTATTACCCTGATACCAAAACTTGTCAAAGACACATCAAAAAGAGGAAACTACAGCCCAATATATATGATGAATATTAATGCAGACATTCTCAGCAAAATACTAGCAAACTGAATTCAACAATGCATTAGAAATATTATTTATCATGACCAAGTGAAATTTATCACTGGGATGCCAGGATGGTTCAGCATATGCAAATCAATCAATATGATACATCATATCAGCAGAATAAAGGATAAAATTCATATGATAATTTCAACTGATGTTGAAAAGGCATTTCACAGAATTCAACATATCTTCATGATAAAAACCTTCTTAAAACAGGATGGAAAGAACATACCTCAACACAATAAAATATATGACAGACCCACAGGTAGTATCATACTGAATGGAGAAATACATAAAGCCCTTCCTTTAAGATGTGGGACATGACAAGGAAGCCCACTGTCACCACAGTTACTCAACATAATATTGGAAGTTTTAGCTAGAGCAAGTAGACAAGAGAAAGATATAAAGGACACACAAATTGGAAATGAAGAAATTCAATTATCCTTGTTTTAAGATGATATAATCCTATATTTGAAAAAAAAAACCTAAAGACTCCGCAGGAAAACTATTAGAACTGATAAACAAATTTAGTAAAGTTCAAGGACACAAAATCAACATAAAAAATAAGTAGAATTTCTTTATTCCAATAATGAACAATGTAAAAAAGTAATCCCTATACACTATTTACAATGGCCACACATAAAATTAAATACCTAGAAATTAAACAAAGAAGTGAAAAATCTCTATAACAAAAACTATAAAATATTGATGAAATAAATTAAAGAAGACACCAAACAATAGAAAAATATTACGTGTTCATGGATTGAAATAATCCATACTGTTAACATGTCCATACAACCCCCCAAAATCTACAGGTTCATTGCAATCTGTATGAAAATACCAATGATATTCTTCACAAAAAAAATCTTAAAATTTATATGGAACTACAGATGACCCAAAATATCCACAGCTATCCTAAGCAAAAAGAACAAAATCAGAGGAATCACATTACCTGACTTCAAATTATACTACAGAGCTATAGTAACCAAAACAGCCTGAAACTGGCATAAAAACAGACACAGAGTCTAATGGAACAGAATCAAGAACCAGAAACAAATACACACACCTACAGTAAACTCATTTTAGAAAAAATTTTCAAGAACATACACTGGGGAAAGGACAGTTTCCTCAATAAACGGTTTTGGGAAAAGTGGATAATCATATGCAGAAGAATGAAACCAGACCCCCATTTATACAAAAATCAAATAAAAGTGGATGAAAGACTTAAATCAAAAACCTCAAACTATAAAACCTACTACAAGAAAACATTGGGAAAAATCTCCTGGACATTTTTTCTGGGCAAATACTTATTGAGCAATACCTCACAAGCACAGGCAACCAAAGCAGAAACAGCAAATGAGATCACATCAACTTAAGCTTCTGCACAGCAAAGGATCCAATAAACAAGTGAAGAGACAACTCACAGAATGGGAGAAAATATTTGCAAACTACCCATCTGTCATGAGATTAAAAACTGAAATATATAGGAAGCTGAAACAACTCTATAAGAAAAAGTCTAATAATCTGATCAAAAATTGGCAAAAGATTTGAAGATACATTTCTCAAAAGAAAACATAACATTTGCAAAGCAGGCATATAAAAAGGTACTCAGCATCATTGATCATTCTAGAAATACAAGTCAAAACTACTATGGGATATTATCTCACTCCAATTAAAATGGCTTATATTTAAAAGACAGGCAATAACAAATGTTGGCGAGGATGTGGAGAAGAAACCCTCCCACGCTGTTGGTTGGAGTGTAATCTAGTACAACCACTGTGGAGAACAGTTTGGAGGTCCCTCAACAAAACTAAAAATTCAGCAACTCCTCTGCTGGGTATATACACAAAAGAAAGAAAATCAGTATATCAAAGAGATATCTGTATTTCTGTGTTTGTTGCAGCACTGTTTACATTAGCTAAGTTTTGGAAGCAACCTAATTGTCCACCAACAGAAGAATGGATAAAGAAAATGTTGTACTTAGGCACTATGGAGTACTCTTCAGCCATAAAAAGAATGAGATCCAGGCATTTGCAACAACATGGATGGAACTGGAGATCACTGTGCTATGTAAAATAAGCCAGACACAGAAAGACATCACATGTTCTCACTTATTTGAGGATCTAAAAATCAAAACATTTGAATTCATGGAGATAGAGAGTAGAAGTATGGTTACAAGAGGCTGAGAAGGGTAGTGGGGGTTGTTGGGGGAGGTGGGGATGGTTAACGGGTACAAAAAAAAGTTACAAAGAATGAATAAGCCCTATTATTTGATAGCACAATAGGGTGACCATAGTCAATAATAACTTAATTGTATGTTTTAAAATAACTTAATTAGTGTAATTTGATTGTTTTTAACTCGAATGACAAATGCTTGAGGAGATGGATACTCCATTCTCCATGATGTGATTATTTGACATTGCATGCCCTTATCAAAACATTGCATATACACCATAAATATATACAGATACTATGTAGCAAAAAAAAAAAAGAAAATATTAAACTCTAATTACTAGATTTATTTTCTAAAACTTGTGTTAGCATTTCTGAAAATAACTTTCTTTTTGTAAATTATAGGACTAACTAAATAAGTAAATATATTTGGTTAATTGTAGCCAGGTTTTACATTGTTGTACATGGGGCTTCTCTATCAACACATAAAGAAACAAATTGTAGAACTGGTTCTGCTGAGTGGAATTGGAGTTACCTACTATTGGTTCCTCCTGATTTTATTTATACACACACACACACACACACACACACACACACACACACACACACACACATAGAAATAATATAAATAGTGCATGTTTGCATAAATAAATGCATACATACAGGTATGTATATTTGGATATAGTGTGACTCAACTGTGTTTTTTGCTTGGGATCTCACAAGGCTGCAGCTCTTTTCTTGAGACTCAGGGAGCAAAAAAAAAAAAAAAAGAAACACTTCCAGCTTCATTCAAATTTGTAATAGAAATTTGCTTCTTGTGGCTGTAGGAGTAAAGCCATTCTCCTCTCCTCTCCTCTCCACTCCTCTCCTCTCCTCTCCTTTCCTTCTTTCTTTTCTATTATTTTCTTCCTGGCAAATGACTCCCTTTATTTTCAAGGTAACAATGGATGCCAAAAACTTCTCATGATTTGAATCATTCTGATTTCCTCTTCTACATCTCTGTAATTAGAGTGGGAAAAATTTTCTCCTTTTAAGGACTCATCTTAAGATAGATGCAGTGAACCAAGGTCGTGCCATTGCACTCCAGTCTGGACAACAGAGCGAGACTCCATTTAAAAAAAAATGACTTTACCTATTGTTAACCATTTATCAATAGTAATTAGCACAATAATTCTACTTCTAAGAATTACCCTTTAGAAATAAACAGAGCTAGAGATAAAAGCTTTATTTTTAGAATTTTTTTGTCAGTGTAAATTTTAAAAGAAAAATTAGAAGCAACCTAAAACTACAAAATTCAAAAATAGGTAAAAAGTGAAACAAACTGTAGCATCTATTTAAAAAAAAAGAAAGTTGGTCATAATATATCAGTCAATAGAAAATGAGAAATTTTTATGTTGGGTTTTTTTTGTTAATTTATCTAAGAGTTGAGTTGGGTGTAATGTTGGCTGTACCTGTAGATGCCAGACGTTCCAATTTTCTCTAGTGAGTTTTTTTTATTCCTATTGTCTTTACATTTACCTAGAAACTACTTATTAAATATAGTCTGCACAGTACTGCTTTCTCAGCTAAAATCTCCTGTTGATATACTAAGGATTTATTGATGTACCAGTAAAGGGAAGTAATGCATTTTATAATGTTATGATTAATTCTCCAGCTTGTAGTGGTTGTTTCCCCTTGATATGTTCTTTACACGTTTTTTTCTTAGCTATTCCCACACTTAGGTGAGACAGGAAGGCTAAAAAGACTGGAGTTGAGTAAGTGTCCTTAACCCGTGTGTTTGTTATAAGGCTTTGGTAAACTCCTTTCCCCTGGAGTATAGGCATTTGATATGGAAATACAGATAGCTTTTACTTCTACCTTTCAAAATTGGACGTATTTTATACATTTGTCTTTCATATTATACTAGTTATTTCCACCAGTGCAACGTTGAATAAAAGAGGTAAGGTAAAATATCTTTACCTTGTTCCTGGTCCTAGAAGAGGGAGGAAGCATTCAATTTTTACTATTAATTATGATGTTAGCTATACCTTTTTGAATGCATCTATTTTAAGATTAAGAAACTTTTCATCTCCTTTCAGGTTTTGAGGTGCTTTAACAAGAATAGATGCTGGATTATTCTTCAATTTGTGTGTGTGTGTATATTAAATGTATTATGTGATGTTTCTGTTTGGTTTATTTATATGGTAAAAAATTTTGAAAGATTTTTGAATGTTAAGCAAATCTTGTATTTTTTGTGAAATCATTCTTTTATTTATTTATTTATTTATTTATTTATTTATTTATTTATTTATTTGAGACGGAGTCTCACTCTGTCGCCCAGGCTGGAGTGCAGTGGTGTGATCTCAGCTCACTGCAAGCTCCGCCTCCCAGATTCACGCCATTCTCCTGCCTCAACCTCCCGAGTAGCTGGGACCATAGGCTCCCGCCACCACGCCCAGCTAATTTTTTGCATTTTTAGTAGAGACAGGGTTTCACCGTGTTAGCCAGATGGTCTCAATGTCCTGACCTTGTGATACGCCCGCCTCGGCCTCCCAAAGTGCTGGGATTACAGGCGTGAGCCACTGCGCCCGGCCGTGAAATCATTCTTGACCATGATGTATTATCATCATATTATTATTTAACATTGTGTTACAGTCAATTTTCTAAAATTTATTTTAGAATCATTTAATATATTTATGAGAAATATTGGTCTGTAGTTTTCTATGTTAGATATCTATCTATCTATCTGTCTGTCTATCTATCTATCTATCTATCTATCTATCTATCTATCTATCTGGTTTTGGTGTTGTCATAATGCTGGTTAATAGAATGAGTTGGGAAGTGTTCCCTTCTTTTCAATTTTTTTTTTTAATTTTACTTTTATTTTAACTTCAGGGGTACAAGTGCAGGAGTGTTACATAGGTAAACCTGTGTCATGGGGGTTTGTTATGCAGATTATTTTATCACCCAGGCAATAAGCATACTACCCAATGGGTAGTTTTTTGATCCTCAACTTCCTCCTACTCTTCACCCTCAAGTAGACCCCGATGTCCAAAAAATCTAAAAGGAGATGAAAAGTTACCTTCCTTGTGTCCATACATACTCGTTGATTAGATTCCACTTACAAGTGAGAACATGCAGTATTCGATTTTCTGTTCCTGTGTTAGTTTGTTAAGAATAATGGTGTCCAGCTCCATCCATGTTCCTGCAAAAGAAATGATCTTACTCTTGCTAATGGTTGCATAGTATTCATTGGTGTATATGTATCACATTTTCTTTATCCATTCGATCACTGATGAACATTTAGGTTGATTCCATGTCTTTGCTATTGTGAATAGTGCTGTGATAAACACATGTGAACATGTGTTCGGTATTATTTATTATTAAATTTTGGTAGAATTCCTCATTTAAAGCACTTGGGGCTGAAAATTTGTTTTAGGACGATCCTTATTCTATCACATTTACTTAATGTACATACATCTATTCATTTTATTCACTTTTTTGTATGAGCTCAAACAATTTGTGTCTTTCAAGGAAGTTGGCTCTTTAATGTTATTTGCTAAATTTTAGGTATAAACTTTCTATTCTCTTTTTCATTTTATCTGTAGAATATATAAAGAAATTACTGTCATTTATCATTATTCAAATTGGTAATTTGTGTCTTTGTTTTTCTTTGTTTTCCTCCCTGCTATTTTACTGATATCCTCTCTGATGTGTATTATTTCCTATGTTCTGTTTACTTTTTAACTTGCTTTTCCTTTTCCATTTTCTTTTTTATTTTATGATATAGTTTTGCACTGTATAACAACATATTGGTCAATTATGGACCACATATGCAACAGTGGTACCAAAATATTATGTATAATGGAGCTAAAAATTTTCTATCACCTTGTGATGTCATAGCCATCATAACGTTATAGTGAAATTGCTTTAGTTTTTAAAACAAATGTAGTGTAGCCTAAGAGTACAATGTCTATAACATCTACCATAGTATATAGTGATGTGCTAGGCCTTCACATTCACTCACCACTCATTCTCTGACTAAGCCAGAGCAACTTTCTGTGAGTTCCATTCAGGGTAAGTGCCCTACAAAGGTGTACCATGTTTATACACTTTTATACCATAATATAGTGTACTGTTTCCATGTTTAGATATGTTTAGCTAGAAAAATACCATTGTGTTCCAGTTACCTACAGTATTCAGTACTGTCACATGCTGTACAGGTTTGTAGCCTAGAGAAAATGAGCTATGCTGTATATCCTAGGTATATAGTAGGTTTGTGTGAGTATATTCTATGAGGTTTGCACAAGGACAAAATCACTTATATATGTTAGTCTTTCCAATACCATGTAATTCTGTAAGACTTTTCATACTTACACCACTGTCCAGATTCTTCAACAGTTTGACTTTCTGTGCTATAAGTGAACATAAATATTTTTTTCCTTATCACTGTTACTCATAGAGAAATCTGCAGGCCTTTTACGTATTCAACAATATCATTACATCACAGAGCAAATAATAAGCAACAAACATAGTAAGTAACACATGTAGGTTTGGTCCCATCTGAAGCATAGTGGGGAACCGGCTGTTAGCACATCTGGCCTGTACACATGCAATTTTATGATCATTGGTGGGAATGCTTGAAAAAGATATGTTGCAGCTGAAGTGGGCTGGAAAAGTCTTTTCCCTCAAAGATGCTAAATGACCTATGTGTTATGCATCTGAATTTTTACTGCAATCTGTCACATGAGGTCAAGTGTGAAATTTTCCACTTGTGGCATCATGCCAGTGCCCAATTTTAGATTTTGGAAAATTTTTGGTTTTAGATTTTTAGATTAGGGATGCTCGACATACAAAAGAAAACACAGGAAAAAACTTCTTCACATTGGTCTTGGCAATGATATTTTGGATATGAACTTAAAAGTACAAGCAACAAAAGCAAATGCAGAAAAATGGGATTGCATCAAACTAAACACTTCTGCAAAGCCTGGTTAAAACTCAACTGAGTGAGGTGAAAAAACAGCCTATGAAATGGGAGAAAATATTTACAAACCAAACCTTATCCTTTAGATAAGGAGTTAATATTTAAAATAAATAAGGTCCCTTAATAGCAAGAAAAAATACCTGATAAAAAATGGATTAAATGTGTGAATATACATTTCTCCAAAGATGACGGGCATATGGTGAGCAGATATATGAGATGTTGAATAGAATCTCAGGGAAATACAAAGTAAAACCATGATGAGACATCACATCACACTTCGTTGAATGGCTATTCAGAGATACAAAACTTAACAAGTATTGGCAAGGAAGTAGAGAAAATATATTTCCTATATACTGTTGTTGGGAATGTAAAATGGTGTATTTGTGTTGGAAAATAGTGTGAAGGTTTCTCAAAAAATTTAAAATAGAACTAATG
This sequence comes from Homo sapiens, assembly GCF_000001405.40. Taxonomy (NCBI): domain Eukaryota; kingdom Metazoa; phylum Chordata; class Mammalia; order Primates; family Hominidae; genus Homo; species Homo sapiens. The sequence goes on from NC_000023.11 coordinate 89,790,181, forward strand.
TATAATGCAGCAATTCCACTTTTGTGTATATATCCAAAGAAAATGAAGTCACATGTTGAAAATATATCTGCATTCCAGTTTTTATTGCACTATTATTTATAATAGCCAAAATATGAAATCAAACTATCCGTCAAAGATAAATTGATAAGGAAAATGTGATATATACATGTGTGTCTGTGTGTGTATATATATATATATATATATATATATACACACACCTATATATATATATATATATACACACACCTATATATATACACATATATATACAAACGCACAATGAAATACTATTCAGCCTTAAAAATGAAAAAAATCTTTCATTTGCAACAATATGAATAAATGTGGAGGACATTATGTCAAGTACAATAAGCCAGGCACAGAAAGACAGATACTGTATGATCCCACTGGTATGTGGAATTCAAAAATATTGAACTCACAGAAGCAGCTTAGTGGTTACCAGGGACTGGGGATGGGGTCGGGAGATGATGGCAAAGGGTACAAAGTTTCAGCAAGAGAGGAGGAATAACTTCTGAAGTTCTATAGTACAGCCTGGTGACTATAGTTAATAATAATGTATTGTGTACTTGAAAATCGCTAAAAGGCTAGATTTTAAATGTTCCCAGTATAAAACACAATGAATGTGACAGTGTATAGTTACGTTAATTAGCTCGATTTAATATTTCACAATGTATGTATGTCAAAATATCACACCAGACACCATAAATATATACAATATTATTTGTTGAATAGAACATAAATTAAAATTATATATTTTAGTTCATGTGTGGAATGTGTCCTAAGGATGTACTCAGACATATATGTATCATATAAGAATGCAATAATATTTGATCATCATTGCTTATGTTGCTGAAAGGCAGGAAAAAGGCTAAGTATCTCATAATGGGAAGATTATTAATCAATTTTGGCAAATGCATATGGTAAGATACAGTGCACCTATTTTTAAAAGTGCATAATTTTAGGTTTTGTTTTATTCTGAAATGGAAATATATCCAGAATAAGCTTTTAGGCAAAAATAAAAGTTATAAAAACAATTGGTAGTACAAATAGTGTGAATTATATAAAGAGAAACTATTAGGCCTAATAATTTAAAATGTCTGTGGATCATAATCATGATGAATGATGCTGGTAATCTTGATACTATGTTATAAACACTAGTTTTAATTATTGATGGTGATGTTTTTCAGGAAGATTATAGATAAAATGGTGAATGGATTATCCCATATTCTAAACTCGATAAAAACTATGTACTCCAAATAAAGCATTTTATTATCATATCAATGAATTGTAGGTTTGTCTGAACTGAAAAATAAATGGACAGTGAGAATTGCTACTCACAGGTTACCAGAACATGTTTCAATCTAATTGAGACACTTTAATGAATGCAATACAATTTTCAGCTATGACTTTAATTTATTTATCAATTATTCCCAAAATGTACATTTTCCCTAATTATTGGTAGCAGCAAATAAGCCAGATAGCTAGAAATGCTTCTTGGAAAATAAATACATTTAAATTTTCCCAACCTTGAATTTACAAATAATTGAAACAGGATGGCTAATAGTGATTAGCCCTTAGATACGCATATTTTTTTTCTGTAGTCTTAACATTTATATCTTCATATACCTCAAAAAGCTATTTTAATGCATGCATTAGTCTATTCTCATGCTTCTATAAAGAAATACCCAAGACTGGGTAATTTATAAAGGAAAGAGGTTTAACTGACTCAGTTCTGCATTGCAGGGGAGGCCTCAGGAAACTTACCATCATGACAGAAGGCAAAGTAGAAGCAAGTACCTTCTTCCCAAGGCGGCAGAAGAGAGCACAGTGTGCAGGGGAACCTGCCATTTATAAAACCATCAGGTCTCATGAGAACTCACTCACTGTCATGAAAACAGCATGGGGGAAACTGCTCCCATGATCCAATAACCTCCTACCAGGTCCCCTCCTTGACAGGTGGGGATTACAATTTGACATGAGATTTGGGTGGGGACACAGAGCCAAACCATATAATTGTGCCCGTGGCCCCTCCCTCATCTCATGTTCTTTTTATATTTCAAAACCAATTATGCCTTTCCAATAGTCCCCCAAAGTCTTAATTCATTCCAGCATCAACTCAAAAGTCCAAGTCCAAAGTCTCATCTTAGACAAGGCAAATCTCTTCAACCTATACACCTGTAAAATCAAAAGCAAGTTAGTTACTTCCAAGATACAATGAGGGTACAGTCATTGGGTAAATGTTAGCAGTTCAAATGGGAGAAATTGACCAAAACAAAGCAAAGGGGCTACAGGCCCCGTGCAAGTCCAAAACCTGGCCAGGCAGTCATAAATTTTAAAGCTCCAAAATCTACTTTGACTCCATGTCTTATATCCAGGGCAGGCTGATGCAAGGGGTGGGCTCCCAAGGCCTTGGGCAGCTCTGCTTCTGTGGCTCTGCAGGGTTCAGCACTTGCAGCTGGTTTCATAGGCTGGTATTGAGTACCTGTGGTTTTTCTAGGGCACATTGCAAGCTATCAGTGGATCTATATTTCTGGGGTCTGGAGGACAGTGGCCCTCTTCTCACAGATCCACTAGGCAGTGCCCCAGTGGGGATTCTGTGTGGGGACTCCAACCCCACATTTCTTTTCTGCATTGCCCTAGCAGAGTTTCTCCCAGATGGCTCTATCCCTGAAGCAGACTTCTGCCTGGACATCCAGGCATTTCCATACATCCTCTGAAATCTAGGCAGAGGTTCCCAAAGCTCAACTCTTTACTTCTGTATACCCACAGGCCCAACACCCCATAGAAGCTGCCAATGCTTGGGGCTTGCACCCTCTGAAGCAATGGCCTGAGCTGCATGTGGGCCCCTTTTAGCCAAAGCTAAAGCTGGAGCAGTTCGGACGCAGGGCAGTCCCGAGGCTGCACAGAGCAGCTGGGCCCTGGGTCAGCCTCAGAAAACCATTTTTCCCTCCTAGGCTTTTGGGCCTGTAATGGGAGGGGCTGCCATGAAGATCTCTGACATGTCCTGGAGACATTTTTCCCATTGTCTTGGCTGTTAACATTTGGCTCCTTGTTACTTATACAAATATCTGCAGCTGGCTTGAATTCCTCCCCAGAAAGTGGGTTTTTCTTTTCTACCACATGATCAGGCTGCAAATTTTCCAAACTTTCACACTCTGCTTCCTCTTTAAACATAAGTTCCAATTTCAAACCATCTCTTCATGAGCATATATAACTGAACATTTTCAGAATCAACCAGGTCACCCCGTGAAAGCTTTGCTACTTAGAAATTTCTTCTGGAAGATACCCTAAATTATCTCTCTCAAGTTCAAAGTTCCACATATCTCTAGGCCAGGGCCAAAATGCATTCAGTCTCTCTGCTAAAGGACAGCAAAAGTGACCTTTGCTCCAGTTCCCAACAAGTTTCTCATCTCCATCTGAGACCACATTAGACTGGACTTCATTGTCCTTATCACTATCAGCATTTGGGTCAAAACCAACAAGTCTCTAGCGAGTTCCAAACTTTCCCACTTCTCCCTGTCTTCTTCTGAGCCCTCCAAACTGTGCCAACCTCTGCCTGTTACCCAGTTTCAAAGTCACTTCCACATTTTCAGGTTATCTTTATAGCAGTGCCCCACTCTAAGTACCAGAGAAATACTAGAGACTAGGTAATTTATAAAATAAAGGGGCTTAATTGATTCACAGTTCCACATAGCTGTAGTGGCCTCAGGAAACTTACAATAATGGCAGAAGGTAAACGAGAAGCAAGTACCTTCTTCCCAAAGTGGCAGGAGAGCGAGAGAGTGCAGGGAAAATTGCCATTTATAAAACCATCAGATCTCATGAAAACTCACTCACTATCATGATAACAGCATGAAGGAAACTGCCCCCATGATCCAATCACCTCCCACCAGGTGTCTCCCTCGACACATGTGGATTACAATTGGAGATGAGATTTGGGTGGGGACACCCAACCAAACCATATCAATGCATCATTATATATGACACTGTTGACTTTTAAAATGATAGAAATTCAACATTATCTCAATTATTGGGTTAGAATGCTATCACCAGGGTATTTTTAAATGACAATTTAAAATAGAACTAGATAAAAAGTAAAACTTCAACAAAACAAGCAAATAATAAAACAAACAAAACCCAGCTCTAGCCAAATACATTTCTTCATTTTTTAATCTGTAGTATTTTTCTGATTTTTATGCAAGAAATGCTAATGGTTTCATGTATTGACAGAAAAATATGTCTCAGAATGATTTATGATAGAATAGAATAAATTACAAATTATTTAGACTAAATTTAATACTTCAAGTCATTTTAATATAATGGCTTGTGGGGAACAAATGCATAATGTCATTTTACAGTTTATCACATTATTTAGACTTTCATGTCATTTAATTGATTCAAAAAAATTGCAGAAATAACTTCTTTACATTATGTTGTAGTTTACTGAGGCTAGACATACATAACATAAAAAATTTGAAAAGTATATAATTAAAGTGAACAGATGGCCCTTTCCAGTAAAAACAACTGGAAATGCAAATCAACTGAAATTTGGGAATAATTGTAGCAGATGGTATAGCCTTCGTACCACTTAGATAATGGCTGCATTCAGTCTTCCTATTGAGGTTAGTTGAGCATGTTGTTTTTCATGTATGCATTTAAATAGAAATACAAAAGAAGAGCAAAATGTACTTTTGTATCACATTAGTAAATAAGGCATTCACCTGTGAAAGTTTCTAGCTGTCCTTATCTCACATCTAATGTGCAGAGTGAATAAGCTGCCCAGTGTCATAAAATTAGGCCTCTTTTAAATGAGTCTTCTACTTGAAAGACAATACAATTGTGTGAGGTCATTCCCAGGAATACAAATGGGGCAAAAATGTGCCAAAGCAATTATTAATATATACTCAATTCTCATATTAAAAATGAATGTCATCTGGTACTCTATCAAAGTAGTAGTCTATTTAAAAATTTACTGAGAAAGAATCTAACATCGCCTGTAACATCATATATTATTGAATAATTTCTTCTTGCATTTTCATGCTAATGTCAATTCATACACCTGAAAATGAAGTCCAATATAATATTAAAGATAAAAAAGGTTGAACAAACTTTTGCTGTTCAGCAACAGAAAAGCAACTTTGAGATTTGAAGCACATGAAGATAAAATGCCATTAATTCATTTAACAAATATTTGAAAATTTAAATCAGGTTTGTGTAATCAGTCTTATGCAACAACTAGAGAAGTGATATATGTGTGATTTAAAAAAAGCTAGATTTGAAAAGGAGAGTTAAAAAAGAAAAACTTTTCAAGGACACAACACCACCCATTGCTCTTATATTACTATTAAAAACTGTAGCTGAAAGGCAACGCTAATGATTGCCTATAGTTGCTGCTGGCCAATATAGCCAGATATATTCTGCATTCTCAGAAACAAAATAACATAAAGCCAGTTCTTTTATTATAAACAATAGATTTTGACATTACGTTACAAGTTCAGAGTACAGGTCAGCAAGTATGACCATATTTGTTCGGAAGAGAGCTAGAAATAATGTTTAAAATAATAAAGAAAGCATTCAGTAAAGGGTTTTGAGCAGTGGTCTTTGACCTCTAATAAAAGGTGTTCACAATTTGCAATTGTACGTAAGTGTAAAGTTAATAGTCCACTGAAAAATAAAAACATTTTCAGAAAAAAATTAAAATATATTTAACAAACCATTTTTATTTATTATAAAAGATAATGCCAGAGTTACTAACTCATATTGATTTTCATATATAAGAAAACTGGTGAGAATATTTAGTGGTTAATTTTTACATCTATGGAATAATAAATGGGTAGAAATGAGCTAAAGGAAGTGTGTTTTTAGACTACAGAAGTGCCATGGGCTTAATGACTCTAAATAAGAGAGGGGAGTTGGTGGATAAACAGCTTTTGTAGTATGATTATGAGGCATGTTCAACATTGTTTCTCATTGTGTCCCCAGAAGAATTGAGTGTCTCAGATTGGTAACACACTATTTATCCTACTCTTTATAAGCTTTCTGCCTCCTGAACCTCAAATCCCCATTTATTCAGCGTGTCTTTTTGGATCACCTAGTCTGAAACTACTTACAAACCAATTCTTTTCTGAGATACTTTGAGGAGAGCCAAAACAAAGAAAACTCTTTAGAAATAATTTCCCAAGGTTACTTCTGCTTATGGCAGAGAGAACCACACTCCCCAAAAATGAATTGAAAGAAAAATTTGGCCACAGTTATCATCACAAGAGCATTGATTGCCTCTACCTTTATAAAGCATCACTTCTTTTTATTGTCTTATTTCTCCTATATCCCACTGTCTCTCCTTTGTATCCTCTTCTTATTAACCTAATTGATATCCTCACCTTTTTATTTCAACATTAGTCTCAGGATCTCTGGTCCTGGTTCCCTGGGCTCTGAAGAGTTTATGAAAATTTTCCATTGCCTGGAGGACTTAATATAATTTACAATGTTATAAAGTTTAGTATTTCATAAATTGCTAGATGATTATTTTCAGTATATATTCTATGAAAATTTTATAATAAGGATTATGTAAAAATCACCTGCTGTGGCTAAGTTTTAACTGCCGAGACAGAAAATGGTAAATTTATCGATAGCAAAATTTCTAAGAATTGTTAATAATATAATTTGAATTATAAAACCTTAAAATGAGCATAGATTTGGCAGTGTTTAACAATTATGCTTTACTCTAACTCCTATTTGCATACCACTTAATTAGTGTAAAACTAAAATGATCTGGAAAAGCACAGATAAAAAAGCATTCTAATGGGAAACATTCTCTCTCTCTCTCTCTCTCTGTGTCATTGATCTAAATGCATTCTATGGTTTGAATGCATACCCCAAATGTCATGTGTTGCAAACTTAATCCCCATTGTAATAGTATTAAGAAGTTGGGCCTTTAAGAGGTAATTAAGTCATGAGGGATCTGCTCTTATAAATGGACTAATGTTGCTATCTTAGGAGTGGGTTACTTATCATGGGAGTGGGCTCCTAATGAAAGGATAAATTTATTTCTGTCTTGCACATTCAACTCTGCATTCTATCTTCCACCATGGGATGACCCTCATTGGACTGCAGCCCATGCCTTTGGAATTTCTGGTCTCCAAAACCATGGACCAAATAAACTTCTATTTTTTACAGATCACCAGTATGTGAGATTCTAATATAGAAGCAGAAAATGGACTAAGACAGAGAATCGGTACCAGGAAGTGGGACTGTTGCTACATCAAATACCTGAAAAAGTAGAAGTGGCTTTGAAGCTGGGTAATGGGTAGAGGCTGAAAGAATTTTGAGGAGCAGGCTAGGAAAAGCTTGTATTGCAATGAACAGAGCATTAAGGATGATTCTGGGGTGGGCTCACAAGAGAACCCCAGAACTAGTGAAAGCCGAAATCTACTTCAGAATTACTTGAGTGGTTGTGACCAGAATGTAAGTAGAAATATAGATGGTAAAGGCAATTCTAATCAAGTCTCAAATGTAAAGGAGGAACAAAGTGTTGGAAATTAGAATAAAGGTCATCCTTGTTATTCGGTAGAAATGACCTTGGCTGAATTGTGTCCATGCTTGAGAACTTTATGAAAGGTAGACCTTAAGATTGATGAACTAGGATATCTGGCAGAAGAAATATCTAAACAGCAACAATTTAGGCTGCTTCATCGCTACTTTTAATCATATACAGTGAGTTCTAAAAAAATGAGTTAAAAATAAAATTTATAATTAAAAGGGAAACAAAATGAAAATATTTGGACATTTTGCAGCTTGCCAATGCAAAGAATGAGTAAACCTATTCAGGAGTGAATAGTAAGTGTGCAGCCAAGCAACCATTTGCTAAAGAGATTATAATAAATAGAAAAGAGCCGGCCCGGCGCTGTGGCTCACGCCTGTAATCCCAGCACTTTGGGAGGCCGAGGCGGGCGGATCACGAGGTCAGGACATCGAGACCATCCTGGCTAACACGGTGAAACCTCGTCTCTCCTAAAAATACAAAAAATTAGCCAGGCCTGGTAGTGGGTGCCTGTAGTCCCAGCTACTCGGGAGGCTGAGGTAGGAGAATGGCGTGAACCCGGGAGGCGGAGCTTGCAGTGAGCAGAGATTGCGTCGCTGCACTCCAGCCTCGGCGACAGAAGGAGACTCCGTCTCAAAAAACAAAACAAAACAAAAAAAACAAATAAATAGAAAGGAGCCATGTAGTATTTATCAAGACAATGGGAGAAAGATCCCAGAAGCATTTTAAATATCTTCAAAACTGTCGTTCCCAGCATAGACCCAGAGCTCTAGGAGAGAAGAATGGTTTGGGAGGACCTTCAGACCATTGAAGGCCTGGGGCACCTTCCCTGAACTCACTACCCAGATCTGCCTCAGGTCTCTGATCCCTGCATGCCACTGAGTACTCTTCAACTTCTCTACCTGCAGCTCAAGAGAGCACTGGAGCCACGCTGGCTGCTGCTTGGTAAGATACAGGCTTTAATCATTGATAGCATCCATATTGCATTAAGTCTGCAGGCTTGCAGAATGTAAGAGCTGTGGGGATATAGTTACCTCCCCCTAGAATTTAAAGGATGTACAGGATAGCCAGAGGTCCAAGACAGACTCCTGCTACAGCAGTGGAGTCACCACAGTCTCCACCAGGGCATTACCTAATGAAGCAGTGGAAGTGGGGCTACTCCCAAGACCACAGAACTGTAAGGTCACCAGCGTGCAGCTCCATCCTGGAAAAGCTGCAGGCATGAGACTCCAACTTGAAAGAAATGAAGCATAGGCTGAGCCCATCAAAGCAAACGAGGGAGGGCTGCTTGAAGTCTTGGGAGCCCAACCTCTACTCCAGTGTATGCAGGAAGCAGAACATGTAGTCCACAGAGATTATTCTCCAGCTTTAAGACTTAATGTGATTTCTTCTGTTTGGTTTTAGAATTTCTTGGTACCAGTTACCCATTTTTCTTGTCTATTCCCCCCTTTTATATAAGGAATGTCTATTTCATGCCTGTTCCAACATTGTATTTTGAAAAGAAATAACGAGTTTTGATTTCACAGGCTCACAGGTGGAAGATTTTGGCTTGGGATTAATCATGTTTTGAGTATCACCCATTTCTAATTTAGATAAGACTCTTAACTTTTGACTTCTGAGTTAATGGTGGAATGAGTTAAAACTTTTGGAATTATTGATATGAACTACATTTATTTTGCAATGTGAGAAGAATGAAAATTTTGGATGACAGGGGTGGAATGCTATGGTTTGAATGTGACCCCCAAATTTTATGTGTTGGAAATTTCATCCTCATTGTAGTGGTATTAAGAGGTTGAGGCTTTAATAAGTGATTAGGTTATGAGGGTTCTGCTCTCATGAATGGATTAATGCTGTTATCATGGGAATGGACTTCTAATACAAAGATAAGTTTGCCCCATTTTTTTTCATTTTCTCACATGCTCACTTCTGCCTTCCATCTCTGACCAGAAGATGACCCTATGACCTCTAACCAGATGCCACCATAATACTCTTGGACTTCCAGTCTCCAATACCTTGAGTTATATATAGAGCTGGAGGCACCCAAGCTCTCTTTCTATGTAGCTCCAACTGGAGGCTGGAATATACATATAGAGAGAGGTATAAATATACCTCTCTCTATATATTTTATATATGAATATATATTATACTTCAGCATATGACTTCAAGTTTGAACTATGTGTCAGAATTATTCTGACTCCCCCTTGAGCTTTGAATAAATACATATTATATATATAAATATTATATATATATATATCCTTTCTCTCTCTCTCTTTCTCTCTCAATCCTCCACATTAAAAAAATAAAAGTTTAACTGTGATGAATATATTCTAAACACATTTTAAGTGCATATCTTCATCCTACAATGAAAAATGACTTCTGAAATAAACTAATTTTATACCTCAAATTTTGTTGGAATTTGCCCAATTTGTGGAGATTTTCCAAGTAATTCAATGGAGATTAAGCAGTTTTTCTTTGTGAGACTGTTACTAGACAACTATAACAATAATGGTTTTTTTTCAGTGTTTTGGTTAAACTATTGGTAACATAAGGTCAAGCTCTGATATCACTCTTTTTTTATCAATGACTTCCAACTAAGTGGAGAAGTTTTGTTGCGTGGACATTTCTTTACACTGTGTAGCTGTTACGTTTGATAGGTCTACCTATGAAGTGCCAGGTTTTTATTAGGGGACATCTTAAATATTTGTTAATTAAATTTTATAGTTAGAAAGTACTTTTATCAAATATACCATTTTAACTTAGAAAACCTGACATTTTGGCAAATACATGAGGCAATAAAATGAAACTTTCAATGTTACTCTTTACTTCAGGACCCTTCCATTCTTCCCCTCTGGGCTCATGCAATTAGAAAATGACATTGCAAATTGTGCTTTTGTTCATATTTTGGAATTTTGAGTATTAGTGTAATGGTTGGCATATCTATATGGGAAAATATATGTTCTCCTATAAGTTTTACTTTCAAACTTGACAATTTATCTTTGATGAAATTATCAAAATGTGTGTTATGAAGAACTAGAGAAATTGATGAACAAGTATTCTCCTTTGAGCTTAAGGAGCAGAGTTTAGTTGGAAACATACACTGTAAAATGTATAAGTACAATCGAGAGTGGTAAAACAATATAGGATAAAGATGAGCAAAGAATGTGGAAGACAAAACAGTAGAACTGAAACAAAATGGAACTAAACTTCTGTGAAAGAACATGAAAAAGTCACACTAAGGTGAATTTGTATATAGATGTCTAGAAGATAGGTGAGCTGAAAAACTATTTGAAAAGTGGACCATTAAAGTCTGAACTATGGGGCACAAGACATTTTGAAAAATATGTATACATTTTATTTTAAAAGGGGGATAATTAATATGACTATAATAGCAATGTAACTTTTTTGTAACACTATTCAGATTAAAAAACAGAAAGCTAGATTCTGATGGCATGATTGTTTACATAATAGAAATATGGTAGGTGTGATAGTTTCTCATAAGAAACCCCTTTCTTTTCCTGTAAAAGGAAAACACCCTGAAACATTGAGAGATGCTTTGGAAGGAACACAGAGAGAGAGAGATTGATTTTATATCATGAAAAGCAATATGCTATAGTGGGCAATTTTTTCTTTACCCTAAAATATTTGAGTATACATACATCCTATAATTATTTCAGGAGGTAGAAACAGTCTCGTTAAAGCAATGATCTTATTCAAAATAGTAACAGTAGAGAAGGAGATTAAGTGCCACCATAAGAGGCTCATAATCAGTTAAAATTCTTTGTCTCCTAGCAAATATGTTGAAAGAAATACCTTGAAATCTCAAAGCACAGAGTATTCATCAGTGTTCTTCAGAGAAACAGAACCAATAGAGAGGGATTTGTTATAAGGTACTATCTCACACAATTATAGAGGCTGAGGAATCTCGTGATATGCTGTTTGCAAGCTTTAGACCCAGGAAAGCCAGTGGCATAGCTCAAAGGCCTGAGAGCTGGAGTGCCAATGATGTAGATTCCAGGACTAATCTGAAGGCTTAGGAACCAGTAGCACCGAAGGTGGCAGATTGATGTCCTAGCTCAAGCAGTCTGGCAGAGGGAAGGATAATCCAAGCTTCCTCCACTTTTTTGTTCTATTCAGGTGCTCAATGGATTGGATGATGCCCACACATATTTGGAAGGGCCTTATATTTCATTTAGTTCATCAATTCAAATGCTAATCACTTTCCAGAAACAATCTTATAAACACAAAAATAGTTTTTAACCACATATCTGAACATTCATGGCCATGTCAAGTTGACACATAAAATTAACTATCAGAAGTCTACCCCTTGTCAACTTGGTACCCATATCCATCTCAAATAAAGACAATAGCAATATCATAATTCTGCCTAACATAATGCAATTATCCTGAATACATTGAAAAATGCACTAACCTCTTCCCCAGAAGAGGAGGTAAAATCTTTGAGTGATGTTTACTTTTCCTGATATTCCTTAGCTTAAATGCTATGATATAAGATTAACAACACTAGGAAACTTTTACATAAAGTCTATTCATCTTATGTTACTTGATAAGACAAAAGAGAGGGAAGAAAACAAATATATTTGCTGTGTATATGCACATGAACATACACACACACAAATGCATTCTTAAAAACCTAAGAAAATACTCATGATGATTAAACCCCTCAATTCTCTAACTGGCCCCATGGTCATATCTGTTATTTATAACTACTTTCTTCCACTACCCATTGTGTATTTCCTTTGCCTTCAGCAAGTACATCAGCTGGTCATGGTTGTTTACCTGGTGAGGTTAACCAAACCTTCCTTCCTGACAGGTCTGCATTATGAGCAGTCCTGCCTGGATTAGGTTGTTCAAACATTATATGGATCTTCATCATAGGGTATGGTAACACTAAGACACCCTAAGGGATTTTCTGTATTTCAAGCATACTCTTTATTGTCCCCATTGTGGAGTAGTAGTCAAATTTTGCTTTGGTAATCAAAATCAATTACCTCACCCAGCACAGTAACTTTCTTTCCCTGTTGATTCAGAGGCATGAGTAGTCATAAGTGGCTGAGTGACAGTCTTAACTTTCATTCTAATGAAATGATTATTGTGTCTCCTGGTAGAAGGGTTCCTCCCTTTGGAACTACGTCCTCTGGGCCAGCAGAGTATAATAGGGCAGTAACAGGAAGCAACATTTTTGCTAGTGGGTCACAGGGGATAATGGTGAGTGCTGCCACTCTCATTTTCACACCTTGATTCCTGGACCTGTGAATTCTGGCTATGGGACAAATAGCACCAAATGTTACCAACTGACAGAGCACATATAAAGCCTTCTGGAAAACCTTGCCCCACCCCTGCAAAGTCTTGACACCCAGCTGGTACTGTAATTGTGTCTTCAAAAGGCCACTTATCTATTTTATCAAGCTAGCTGCTTCAGGATGGTGAATAACATGGGCCTATTGCCACTCTTCGTTTGCTATGAAGTGAGTTTCTTGATAAGAGGCAATGCTGTATGGAATATTATAATGGTGGATCAAGCATTCTATAAGCCCACAGATTGTAGTTTAGACAAAAGCACTGCATGCAGGAAAGGCAAATTAAAAACTGTAGTAAATGCCTACTCCAATATAAACAAAATATTTCCCTTTCCATGACTGAGGTGGCCTAATGTAATCAACATGTCACTAGGTACCATTGGCTGATCACTCTGGGAAATGGAAGTATATTGAGAACTCAATGTTGATCTGTGCTGCTGAAATATTGAATCCCGATAGGAAAGGCTTAGAGAAATATTGACAACATAAATTATAGTGTATCAGGGTCCTTCCTGGAGAAGATATAACCTTTTAATTATATAAGGGGTTCTGGGTCTGTAAACTGGCCCAATTCTGGAAACTGATTGAGGGGCTATGATTCTATACTTTAATGATTCAAGTTAGACTTTTGTTCATTTAACCTAGAACTTTCCTTCTTATATAAATCAGGTAAGAAGATAGTAGGCTTCCTATCTATTTCACTTTTCAAATATCATGATTGACTAGCCAATGTCATAGGTATACATCAGTCAGACTATTCTGATTGCTGCTTTTACTTTGCTGTCCATTAGGGTTACCATGACAACCCTGCCTTTGGTGGTTGATTGCCAACACTTCACCCTTGTGCCTCTGGAATACATTTACTCCCATTGCATTTAGTTTTTCTAATCGAATTGCTGTAGTTTCCATTGTAAGGTCTATCCCGCAGAGAAAAGCGATCACAGAGCCCTTCATAGATAGTGGAGTTTCCCCAAAAATTTATTTCTCAAAGTGGTGGTGAAAGGTATAACTTCTGGGCTGTCCCAGTGTGGGTGAGTAAGTACTAAATGAAAAATCCACTCTTAACATTCAATTTTCTCTAAGCCTCTTAATCCCTTCCTCTACATTACACCAAAGGAGGTAGGCATTTTTGGTTCACTCAAAGTGGTCAATATTTTGGTTCCTATCTCAGCCAATCATTAAAAAAACTGCAAGAGTAATTTTTAACTCCCTGAACTGCAACATTAAATGCAGAATCTCTGTTAAGTGAGCCTATATTAATAAATTTGGCTTAATCCAATTTTATGTCACTTCCACCATTATCCCGTAACCTCCATATTTATTTCCACACATATTTCCTGATTCATGTCTGTATTAATTAGAAAAGTCAAGTAGTTTCTGGAAGTGCACACCTCCTCATTGGTCACACTTTGTACCTCATCATTAGTGGCCTGGTGGTACCTGAGTCCAGTTACAGGTCTATTCGCAAATAAGGGTAAAATAGATGGATCATGAAGAGAAGCAACATTTTCTGGTGTGGCAATTGTCTCAGGGGAGGTAATTACTGTTTTTTTTTCAGGTAATGCAGAGTTAATCCATTCATGCAGGGGTGGAAAGGCTGATACCACTGGGGGTGTGGATGATGTTGCCACTTGGAGTGGAGATACTGCTTCTGCTTGGAGTAGGGAGGCCACTTATGCTGAGGTTAGGAAGAACTGTTCCACTGACAAAACTATCATCGGAATTTAGAAGCTCAGTTTCCCCAGTATAATCAGCCATTCCACATGTCCCCATTCCAACTTACAAGATGCCATTTTTTTCCCTAATTTTTTTTACTACTTTTACAATACACACCCTGTGAAGCTGGTTGGGAGTTCAACTTGAATTGTAATTCAGACAATTGCAGGATGAGATTCTGAGTTTGATTTTCAGCAACATCAGCTCTGTGGCTATAGAAGATAAAAGTTTCTTTCAAGACACACATAGAAACCTTCAAGTCATGTATGCAGCACATGAGGTGGTATATATAAATATAGATATGCTTAATATGCATAATATATTTATGTATATTTCAGGGATTTGATATATATGATATATATTAGTATATCATATATGTGATATATTAAATATAAATATATATCAAATCCCTGATATATATTTAATATATATCATTTTGTAGACATACATATATACATATGGATATATATTATATATAAATATATACCTATATGCATATATAAATATATGCCTATAAACATATATAGTACATATAAATATATACCTATAAACATATATAATATATACATATATACATATATACATACATAAATATATTTAACCACATTAAACCAGTGACATTTGAGCAACTAACTGACTTTATCATATTTCTCAGTTTTCTGTAAATATTCAAAAGTATTATAAACATAGTTATCAAGCTTCTTGTTTCTTATAAGTGCTTAATCAAGAGTATCCAATACAAATATTTTGTATGTCTCTATTACCAATTTATGCTGTGGACTATCAGTGCTTTCTCTACTACTGGAAATAGAGTCACTGGAATATCTAAGTTATATCAGATTAGGAAGCCAATTCCAGAAACTCTAGATCAATACAGAAATGCATGTTTAGAATTTTTTTTTCCTCTAGAATACTCCCAGTACCAAAATCTGCATTTTTCAGGGTTTTTCAGAAAAATTGAATCAGTAGCATAGCTAGCTAGATAGATAAGTAAATTAGATTTGTTGTAAGACATTGTTTCACATAATTATGGAGGATGAAAATTCTCATGCTATGTCATCTGCAAGCCAGAGACTCAGAGAAGCCTGTAGTTTAGTTAAAAGGCCTTAGAGTTTAAGGGCTGATGGTTTAGGTCTTAGTCTAAAGTGTGAAGGCTTAAGAACCAGTAGTTCCCAGGACAGAAGAAGATTGTCATTCCAGCTCAAGCATTGTGGCAGAGGAAGGAAGGATCCAACCTTCTTTCACTTTTGCCTTTTTGTTTTATTCAGACTCTCAAAGGATTGGATGATGCCCACATGCAATGGGGAAAGCCATCTGCTTGACTCAGTTAACCAATTAAAATGCTTACCTCTTCCAGAAACACCCTCACAGACACATCCAGAAGTAATGTTTAATCAGATGTCTACATCCTAAGGCCATGTCAAGTTGACATAATATCATGCATCACACCCAATGTCTTATAGTAATATACATTTGTTCAGAAGTGTAATACAAATTTAGTCACAATAAAAATGTTAGCCTTAATAGCCCCAGTGTGAAAAAATATTATTTAATAATTCAAGAGTTTAATTTTAAATATGTAAAATTATTTTTTAAAAAATAAATTATTAAAACTAAGATTTTTACCATAGTTAGTATCTGAGAGGCACTGGGTTAACAAACCTTTGGTGCCAATGCTCATTTAATCTTCATGGCAATCCTGCAATGTTATTCTTATTCTTATTTGACTCCAATTTTATAGATGATGAATACTTAAGTACAGATAATTTAAGTAATTTGAATGAAGGATCAGAGCCAATAAGTCCCTGCTCCTAATTACTTTGCTATGTAACCAGACTCTATGCTTATGACATTTATATTATTACATTCAAGTTAAATAAGGAGTATATTAAACCTAACCATTCCCAACTGTTTTTTCCCTTCATTTACTCATTTAATTCAATAGAGATGTAGGTATGGAATACATCTCACTTGGAACATGGAGTATGTTTTTGGAAAATGATAGCACCATTTATTTCTGAAATAATTACATTTAAAACAAAGCTTAGAAAATTGTTTCAGTCACATATTAGACTGTAAACAGATGTGTAACAAGGACAATTTACCCTGGTTCATATTCTGCTAAAATTGATAAATATTTGACTTATATCTGGAAATTTAACTCAAGTATTAAATATAGTTGTTGTACAATTTGTTTGCACTTTTCAGTAAGACTTAAGGTGAATGCAAATCTTAGCTCTAGGAGTTCTGCCACTTTCTTTTTTCGATGTCTAGACAGAACTCATAATGCCTATTTAACTATGTTTCATATGTTAGGAAAGGAAAAACAATCTCTCTTTCCCTCTATAGAAGAATGTTATAAGCATTAAGAGATTTTTAAAAAATATATTTGATATATGCAAAGTAGACTTTATGGTAGGCGTTCCTGTATTTTCTTTAACATTCCAGTAGAAGAAACAATCTAAATTGTCAAGATGCTTTATGCTGCTAAGTCAAATCAAATAAAAATTAATTTCTACTTCCTATTGGATGTAATTTTTGATCAAAAATACTCCTACGTTTTGTAGGGATAGATGATTTGGAAATATAATTTACTGAGCAATCTAAAATATACTTGAACGCACATCTCTGTGAATTTTTGATAATATAGGCATAATTATAAAAGTGGTATAATATAGTTTCAGGACATTATAACAAGCTAAGTTTTTTTTTTTTTAATAATTTCAAACTTTCATTTTAGATTCAGGGGGTACATGTGTAGGTTTGTTACTTGGGAATATTACATGATGCTGAGATTGGTGGTACAATAGATCCTATCACCCAGGTACTAAGTATAGTACCCAATAGATTGTTTTTCAAAGCTTGCCTCCTTCCTCTCTTCCCACTCTAGTAGTCTGCAGTGTCTATTGCTGCCATCTTTTTGTGCATGAGTACCCAAAGTTCAGCTCCCTCTTATAAGTAATAATATGCTGTATTTGATTTTCTGTTACTGCATTAATTTGCTCAGGATTATGGCCTCCAGCTGCATTCATGTTGCTGCAGCTGATGTGATTTCATTTCTATGGCTGCATAGTATTCCACGGTCTAAACGTACCACATTAAAAAAAAATTCCAATCCACCATTCATGGATACCTAGTTTGACTCAATGTCTTTGTTACTGTGAATAGTGCTGTGATGAACATAAGAATGCATGTGTTTTCTTTTTTTGATAGAATGACTTATTTTCTTTTGGATATTTACCTAGTATTGGGATTGCTCGGTCAAATCATAGTTGTGTTTTATGTTCTTGGGGAAATCTGCAAATTGCTTTTCACAGTAGGTGAATTAATTTACATTCCCACCAACAGTATGTAAGCGTTCGCTTTTCTTCACAGCCTCACCAACATCATCAACATCTGCTGTTTTTTGACTTTTTAATAGTAGCCATTCTGATTTGTGTGAGATGGTATCTCATTGCGGTTTTGGATTACATCTCTCTGATGATTAATGATATTAAGTATTTTTCATGTTTGTTGGCTACTTGTATGTCTTCTTTTGAGAAGTATCTGTTCATGTCTGTTGCCCATTTTTAATGGAGTTATTTGATTTTGCTCATTCAACTCTTTAAGTTTTTTATAGATTCTGGATACTAGACCTTTGTTGGATGCACAGTTTTTGAATTTTCTCCCATTCTGTAGGTTGTCTGTTTACTCTGTTGATAGTTTATTTGTTGTGCAGAAGCTCTTCGGTTTAATTAGGTTCCAACTGTCCATTTTTGTCTTTGTTGCAATTGCTTTGGATACAGCCTAAATGTTTCTGTTTTTGCATATACCCACAGAATTTGAAACATGTAATTTCTTTCTTTTCCTTTTTTATTGCAAACTAAAAATAATCTGACAGATAAATGATTGTTCAAGTCCAGATGATTTAAAAAAATATATATATATAGCCTTCTTAATTAGCAACAATAATGAAAAAGGGTTAAAATAACACAAAATCTTGTAATTATTTTTCATTTGGAAATTTCAAACTCCCAAAAGATGAATAAAATTCAGTTAGGGCTCATTACAAGCACAACCCATCCAGTGAGAGAGATTGCAATATTGGTACATTAACTTTGGTCATTTTTGACTCAGTAAATAATGATCTACTTAGAACTGTTACTAGGTACATCCACAATTTAATAATAATAATACACACACATATTTACAATAAATATTTATTTTAGCGAAAAACAATTGTGACAAATAAGAGTGAAGAATACAATGAAATTTCTATGAAGTTTTGCTTCAGTTTTTGATTATGCTTTTTGATCACATGAAAATTGCATTAATATATAAAAAGATAAGCATGAGAATTCATCATTGCTGACAAACATTTCTGATGAAACTAAGTTGATATGCATTTATTCTTCATAGTTGGTAAAATCTAGGCCTTAATTTACTTTATATCATTTAATAAAGTATTTTTAATTCTAATTGGAGCACTTAAATGATAAAAAGAGATAGATATTTGACTTTGCTTTACCCAGAATTCTTTTTAAGGTTTATGATATTTTTTAGAAAAGAAATATAGCTGGACCCAGTGGCTCATGTCTGTAATCCCAGCAATTTGGGAGGCTGAAGCAGGATGATCACTTGCGTCCAGGAGTTTGAGACCAGCCTGGGTAATACAGTGAGACCCCACCTCTAGTATAAATTAAAAAAAAATTTAAAAAGAATAAAAATAAGAGTAAATATAATTTAAAATTCCTCCTTTAAATATATATTTTTAATTTTGATTTTTGTGGGTACACAGCAGGTGTATATATTTATGGACTATTATTTTGAAAGTCAAATGAAAATTTTATCATTTAAACCTTAAGAAGCTTTAATATAAGTCTCAGATTTTCAAATAGGTATCTGATAATATACATGTGATTTTATTTCTTTTAGAAAATAAAGCAAATAAAACAGAGTAAACACAAAGGAGGATCAACTAGTTGAAAATGTTTATTATACCTTATCCAGAACGTCATGCCAGGTACATAAGCTGATATTTTGAATACAGCTAGTATAAACTGACTCAAATGTAATTTTCTTCAAGTCATTCAGTTTAATAAGTTATTATGATTTAGATTGGCATTTCACTGTTACCCACTCTATGTAGTTTTCAGAAACCTCCATTAATTAACTTTGGTTACTCTGAAAATTATTAGAAGAGAAACTCATGTCTTCTTTGTACATTGTGGGTTACACAGTTCCGTGTCCATTACTTCAACCTTGTCTTTTAACTTACATATCTCCTCAGAATTTATTTGCACTTGCTAATTTTTATTTTGGGTTTGTTCTAAAGCTGCTTTCCTCCAATAACCTATCTTTTACTAAATCTACTTCACAGTCATTACATCATATATTCTATTCACACTTACATTTTGTATGGCTTTCCCCTTGCACATAGTATTTTTAATTAAAATTTTCACTTTGGAGTAGTTATAAATTCACATCCAGTTTAAAAGAAATAGTACAACACCATTTATTAAATAGGGAGTCCTTTCCCCATTGCTTGTTTTTGTCAGGTTTATCAAAGATCAGATGGTTGTAGATATATGGTATTATTTCTGAGGCCTCTGTTCTGGTCCATTGGTCTATATATCTGTTGTGGTACCAGTACCATGCTGTTTTGGTTACTGTAGCCTTGTAGTATAGTTTGAAGTCAGGTAGTATGATGCTCCCAGCTTTGTTCTTTTTGCTTAGGATTGTCTTGGCTATATGGGCATTTTTTTTGTTCCATGTGAAATTTAAAGTAGTTTTTTTCTAATTCTGTGAAGAAAGGCAATGGCAGCTTGATGGGGATAGCATTGAATCTATAAATTACTTTGGGCAGTATGGCCATTTTCACGATATTGCTTCTCCCTATCCATGAGCATGGAATGTTGAGAAAATTGGCTAGCCATATGCAGAAAACTGAAACTGGATCCCTTCCTTACACGTTATACAAAATTAACTCAAGCTGGATTAAAGACTTAAATGTAAGACCCAAAATCATAAAAACACTGGAAGAAAACCTAGGCAATACCATTCAGGACATAGGCATAGGTAAAGACTTCATGACTAAAACACCAAACGCAATGGCAACAGAAGCCAAAATTGACAAATGGGATCTAGTTAAACTAAAGAGATTCTCCACAGCAAAAGAAACTATCATCGGAGTGAACAGGCAACCTACAGATGGGGAGAAAATTTTTGCAATCGATCTATCTGAGAAAGGGCAAATATCCAGAATCTACAAAAAAACAAATGTACAAGAAAAAAATAAACAACCCCATCAAAGAGTGGGTGAAGGCTATGAACAGACACTTCTCAAAAGAAGACGTTTATGTGGCCAACAAACATATGAAAAAAAGCTCATCATCACTGGTCATTAGAGAAATGCAAATCAAAACCACAGTGAGATACTATCTCACGCCAGTTAGAATGGCGATCATTAAAAAGTCAAGAAAAAACTGCATGTGAATTTACAATTACTTCACAGTGAAAATCTTAACAGAGGAGAGGATGTGGAGAAATAGGAATGCTTTTACACTGCTGGTGGGAGTGTAAATTAGTTCAACCATTGTGAAAGACAGTGTGGTGATTCCTCAAAGATTTAGAACCAGAAATACAATTTGCCCAGCAATCCCATTACGGGGTATATCCCCAAAGGATTATAAGTCATCCTACTATAAAGGCACATGCACACGTATGTTTATTGCAGCACTGTTCATGATAGCAAAGACTTGGAACCAACCCAAATGCCCATCAATGCTAGACTAGATAAAGAAAATGTGGCACATATACACCATGGAATACAATGCAGCCATGAAAAAGGATGAGTTCATGTCCTTTGCAGGGACATGGATGAAGTTGGAAGCCATCATTCTCAGCAACCTAACACAAGAACAGAAGACCAAACACTGCATGTTCTCACTCATAAGTGGGAGTTGAACAATGAGAATGCATGGAAACAGGGAGGAGAACATCACACACTGGGGCCTGTTGGGGAATGGGTGGCTACGGGACAGATAGCATTAGGAGAAATGCCTAATGTAGATGACGGGTTGATGGGTGCAGCAAACCACCATGACATGTGCATACCTATGTAACAAACCTGCACATTCTGCACATGCATCCCAGAACTTAAAATATGATAATAATAATACAGAGAGATCTTGTACACTTTTCAGCCAGTTTTCCTCATTTGTAACATTTTACATAGAGTCAAATAACACAACCAGAATATTGACACTGAAATTATTTCTTCATGCTTATAAGTTTACCATTTTAAAAATATCATATAATTATGCAGTGTATAACCCTGGGGGATTTTATTGTTTAATTCAGCCTAATTCATTTGAAATCCATAAAGTTGTTGCATGCATCAATAGATTATTTCTCTGTATTGTTGAGTAATATCCCATGTGCCACAGATTATTTAACCATTTATCCATTGAAAAATATCTGATTTGTTAACTCAGTACTAGTAACAGTAAAGCTGATATAAACATTTGTGTACAAGTTTTTGTATAAATATAATTTTCATTTTTTGGATAATATGGAAATTGCATATTTAGTTTATAAGAAACTGTCAAAATAATTTGCAATGTATGTGTGCCCTTTTATATTACCAAGAAAAATATATGCGTAATCTAGTTCTTTTACATTCTAACCAGTATTGACATTGTCACTTTAAAAAAACCATAGCCATTTTGATAGGTATTTAGTAATATCCCACGAGACTGAATAATTAATAAAGAACAGATTTATTTCTCACAGCTCTGGAGACTGAAAGTCCAAGGTCAAGGGGCTCACATCAGGCAAGGACTTTTTTTCTGTGTCATTCCATGGTGGAAGGCAGAATGGCAAGAGAGTGCAGGAGCAAGAGAGAAAGGGTGTGGAACTTACCACTTGTTCACAAAATCACTCCCCTGATAACTAAGCCATTTGTGAGGGTTCTGCCTAATGACCCCTTGAGCGTCCCACATTTCAATGCTGTTGCACTGGAGATTAAGCTTCCAATACATAAACTATGGAGGACATATTAAAACCACAGCAATTACTAATATTGAGACATTCTTAGTGTTAACTATTTTCAAAATGAAAATTGGTTAGAAATTTTTAAATGAAAAATTAAAATGTTTAAGCTTGAATTTGTTTGGATATTATACTTATTTTGATGTGGTTTGAAAATATATATGTAGAAAATGCAAACAATTGATCTAGTTTTGAAATAGAACTATTAGGAGCAGACTGTTACTCAGAGAATAGAACCAGAGATCTGTGGGAACTTGAAAGAGGCAATATTTATTGAGTGCCTACTTCATGTCAATCATTGTTCTATGCACCAGGGTTTATCCAGTGAACCAAACAGACAGAAATACTTACCTTCATGGAACACCATATTAATGAGTATTGTAAACAAATAATATTTATAAGTAAAATATGTATTATATTTAAATCATTGAGTACTAAATGAGAAAAAATAAAGCAATGAAGGATAATATAAAATTATTATGTGGATAGTCATCTATGGAAAAAATCTTTTAGGCAGAAAAAATAGCCATTTTAAAGATTCTTAATAGCTAATATGAAGTTGAATGTAAGTGTCTGGAGTTCCTTGGAAAGCTCATGGCTGGTAATATAAATGTAACAGTCACTAATGTCTGTGTATAGCTACTCTGAAGTCATTTTTGACTGCTAA
This sequence comes from Homo sapiens, assembly GCF_000001405.40. Taxonomy (NCBI): domain Eukaryota; kingdom Metazoa; phylum Chordata; class Mammalia; order Primates; family Hominidae; genus Homo; species Homo sapiens. The sequence goes on from NC_000023.11 coordinate 89,813,471, forward strand.
TCTTGAAGTAATGTAAAGTTGCCAAATAAATTTGGTGATCCTATTGGTTATAACTGATATTTTTAGAAGTTACTTGAATGCTTACTTATGTATTTTTGCATCTAATAATGATTGATAAATCCCAGAAATAAAAGGAAGAAAACAAAAAATCTATTCATAATGTCAGATTCTGGCATTCAAAATCCTACTCATATGTCAGTTGGAGAACAAAACTTTCAGCCAACACAGTTTGAACTGGAAGCTACCAGGATTCCTCCAGATCCAGAATGAAGGCACTTCATTTTAAATTCATATTTGAAGGGCCCTATTCATTGATGTCATGGCAATAGTAAAAGTCATATTTTGATTTTGTGATCTGATATATTTGTTTTTCCATTGGCACCTGGCTTCACCCTGTGGGAAGTACCTTGTCTTCTATTATCCCCATTTCTCATCTTTGTGGGAGGATATACTCCTCAAGGACTGCACAGACTGATTTGTGTGTTTTACTGTTACCATCATTTTAGAAAAAAAAATTTCTCAAAACCCTAGTAACTTTCTCATCTATTTGAGTCTAAGCAATTCCAAACACCAACAACCACATAGAAAAGTTTTCCTGGATGTAAATCTCAACTCTGATGTATTTTGTGGCTTTCTTGCTCCTTTGCATGTCTCAGCTTGATGACTTATAATTTACTGTCATCTCAAGTAATAGTTTGAAATAGATAAAGGAAACACCTAAATATGATCTTTATTTGGAAGACTGAGTTCCTTTGTTTAACTAAAAATTCTTAATGAATCTCTGTTGCTCAAAGTCTTTTTCAGTTTTATCTCCCACTCTCTGGGGTGCAAACATACTCAGATGTTCTAATCCAATAAGGCCTCAAATTCATTCAGTGTTCTCTATTATCTTTGCTATTTCCACAAGCCAGCCAAGAGTAATATTTCGAGTCCATAGCTAAAGATAATTTATTTCTTTTTATATATAAATCCAATACATTTGTTTGTAATAGATGCACAGATATACTGCATACATAAGTTTAAGGATTCATCCTTCTTTCATCTTGTGGCTTCAGCGTGCCTCAGGGCCTTTGAGTACTCTGTTTAAAGTTGGCTGACTTGAAAAGACAGGCAAGGTAGAGATGCATTGGCCTTTTAACAGTCTTTGCCTTTAAGAGACACATATCATTTCTGTTTATATTCTATCATAAGAACTAACTATGTTGCCCTTCATATATCCACAAGCATCTGAGAAATGTAGTTTATGGCTGGGCAGCCACTTCACAATGACAATTTTATAGAAGAACCATGAATTTTGATGAAAAGATAGCTGACTTTACAGCATTGTATATCATAAATGTGCACTTTTATTCTTCTCTAGATCATGGCATACAGATTACTTCAGTTCATTAACAGAATGTGGACTCTGGGATTTAAAATTATAGAAAATAGGAGTTAGTGAAAATGGTTTTATATGTAACCATGGAGTGAATATCTGATAGACAAGTAGCCACTGGTCTGGTCAGAATACACCTCAAATGCCAAGTGCATTCTCTACATGGGATACTATCAAATAGCACTACAAGGTATGCTAACCACAATGCTTCCACCAGGTCTTATGTATAGTCACCACTTGTGTAGCAAAATTATCCTTGAGTTCAGAGTCAGAATTGATTCAGATATTAAGGAAATTATGAAACTTTAAGTTCCATATTAAGAAAATTAAAACATTCTATAATGATTTCATTTAAGGTTACTATGACATAAAAAGTTTCATAGCTTTTAATTAAGCACACATTTATAATAATAGTTGTTATTTTAGGTAATATCAGGGTGTTGTAAAAGAATTGCCCACTAACCTCATTTCCAGTTACCACTGACAGATGTGTAAAAACAAGTTGTCTCTCTCTCCTGATAGTGTCTGATAGTCTAACTTTCTAAATGTCTAACAACCCTATCTTTGTCCCCTTGATCCTTACACTATGATCTACTCCTTTTATCCCTCAAATTCAAAAGGTACTCTAATCCTGAAATATCAGGTCAATACCCACTCTCCTTAGAGAACATTCTCTGATTGCTTTTAAGATCTTTCAAGTGAAAAATTGCATATATCTTATTTGAAGGTATTTAGAATCTAAAAAAAAAGATATAAATTTTGCCTCATTTTAGTACTTTTACGTGAAAAATCTATGCTTGGGACTTCTATAATGATTGGATTTTAGGTTAATATGACTTAAAAAGCGTTCGTATCTTTTAATTAAGCACACATTCATATTAATAGTTATTATTTTAGGTAATATCAGGGTGTTATAAAAATTGCCCAGTAGCCTCACTTCCAGTGATCACTGACAGATGTATGAAAACAAGTTGTCTCTCTCTCAATAATCTATTTTATAATTCAAGTGCTAAAGAGAATGCTGATGTATTGATTGATAAAATTTAATCGCAGTTATTTTATGAGTTGCTTATTGTTGGAGTTAAGAGGGAGTGAATAAGAACTGCAAATGAAAAATGAATTGTATATTTGGGGAAAAGAGAAAATAGTCTCACAGTTATTACTTAATGTTTAATAATATACCAAAAATAGATTACATCAAAAGAGAAAGGAACCTATGAGATATGTGACTCAGAATAATTCTTTATAGTCATATGAGAAATTAAGCCTATAAATTAATGTGAATATATATTTGTTTATATATGTGAACACAAATTGGTGTCTTAGATCATTTTAATTCAAGCAAAACCATTTCTTTAAAAATAGAGATTCTAGCATCAGTTGAATCCAAAGAATCACATGCAAATTAGTTGCTAAAGGACTGTATTCCTAAATAAGATCTCTGTACCAACCTATTCCTTCACAATTTCTTTTTAGAGAAAACATAATTACATTGTTTTGCTAACATTTTTTGAGGACTGCACCTAGTTCATCGATTGGCAAAATATTTTTCTTTTCTAAAGCTTTATATAACAATAAAACTACTTTAGCATTGATTTTGATATTAGGCTATAGGTGCTATAATACCAAAAAATAAAAATTCATACACACATACACACTAATGAACCCTTTTACTGAAACCAAAACATCTTTCTGAGAATAAATGTAGTGTTGTTAAATCAAGTTTAGCCTAAAGCTGCCTCCTTACAAATTTTAAGTTTGTCCTAAAAGTTTCTCTGCACATTGTGAACTATAAAAAGTGGAAGTGTAAACACATCATAGCCTACACTTGTGCCAATCACCGAGTTTTGCCCAATCAAATGTAGCCAACTGTTTGAATTGTGTTCAAATAAGGCAAATGCTGAGCTATAGCCAATCCAGCTCCTTCTGTACCTCATTTTCATTTTCTGTTCGTCACTTTTCTTTTTCTGTCCCATAAATCTTCCACCACGTGGCTGCAGTGGAGTCTCTGAGCATACTCTGGCTTGGTAGGCCACCTGATTCGTGAATTGTTCATTGCTCAATGAAGTGGGATCCATAATAGAGTTTCAAACAACCCCCAGGAGTGCTGAGTGACCAAGCAAGCTACCTGCCAAACTCACTGTGTTCATTGCTCTCTCAGAGAAGCTAGGAATCGTGGTAAGATCTCTGCTAGATTCTGAGGCTCTACGGATTTGGGTTTTAAGCTCTCTGAGTTTCTTCAAGCAAATTTCTGATCCAAACTGGGTTTGGAAGTCACAATAGAAACTTGACTGGGCCCAGGATCAGATTGGATCTGGTAATTAACTGGCTTGGATCCAGTTAGAGGCCTCTTACATCTGACTGGGTCAAAGAAACCAGTAGTAAATGGCAATATTGCAGGGGGTGTTAAATTTGGCTTTGGAAAACTCACAGGAATTTTTGTTTTCTACCCCTTTATTTCATTCTTCTTGTGTACTTAGGCAAAAAATCACTGGCTAAGTTGAGAAGGGGAACATGAGAGCAAAGTCAATATTTGAAGTAAAAATGGGATCCTTAATTTCTGAAGAACTGAGTTCCTTCAGCTCACACATGCATAAGTATCAGGCCCAGGAAGCAGCAAAGTCTTACAGAAATGGCAAAATGTTACTAAAGATAACTTACAGTGGAAAACTCCAAAAAAAAATGAAGCCTCCCAAATTAGTCTCATCTAAGGATGCCTAATGATATGCAGAAACTTCTAAAATTTTTTCAATATTTTTATTTAAAGCTTTTACAAAAGGCAAATAAAAAGCTTAAGCAATTACTTAATATAAAAAATTAAATCTGCTAACTTTTTGGCTTAGTTACTATCCCGATCCAAAGGAAATCGACTTCAGTACCAATTAGTTGACTTTTGGTAAGTAGTGGGGTACGTTTGACCTGGGCAAAGAATGGAATTGAGTTTGAGGCCCAACTTAGGAAGTTTAGATTCCCTCCTAAGACATAGGGAGTTAGAGGCCCTCCCCTCATTAAAATCTCTCTTGGTTAAAAACGGATTTGGCACTATGTGATGTTAACTCCTATTCTCTTTGGATTAATCGGCCTTGCACTTTTTGCTGATGGCTATGGGTGACAGGATTAGGCATGTACAGGATCATAGGACATGGGGAACTTTTTTCTCCCCAAAGGGGGAAACTTGAGAGCTTATAGGATTGCTGGAAAAGATCACTTCCAGCAAGTGACAAGTAGCCACTTGAACTTTTGATTCAGTATCTCCGCAATGGATGGGTCTTTCTCTGGCCTCCCTGAGCTCTTTGCCTTCCCCACCCCACCACAGGCAATGCTTTTCTTTATCTCTTTCTCTCCTTTTCCTTTTCTCTTTTTTCTGTTATTCAGGGTGACCATCTTGCCCAGAGACCACATGTTGCAACTCCTCATTGGAGGCAAAGATGACAGAGCCCAACCAGGGGAAAGATCAAGCCATCCCAGTTTGATATTGGGTGCTAAGCAGAGTAGCTAATGTGTATGCTTTGTCACAGAGAAGTATCTGTACAGCCTCTGTCACTTGTGACCTATAAAGAAATACGTCACATCATGTATTAGAGAGATTCGGTTGTAGGGGATTAACAAAGAGACTGCTTAGTTAAGTGAGCAAACTCTATCTAGCTCATTCTTTGATCTATTTAATTTTAGATGGTTTGGTTTATGGGGATCCTAAATAAGGAGCATACTCCAAACTCTTGATATTATCCTCCTAATAGTCATAATAGTATTTCTGCTGGTGTGCTGTATTCTCCCAAAAGTTTTAAATGTTTCCATGTAGCAATCTCTAGAATGTCAACTGGTCTCTCTTCAACTGCAATGACAAAAGCTGAAAAAAATGTGTGACCATAAGGGAGCCATAACCTATGAATGACACGCTGAGACCGGAAATGCAAAATGATGGTAACTGAGAGTGATGCTAAGGCCCTACATTTTGGTCACGCTCTTCCCTAAGTAAGAACCTGACCAAAGAGGGGAAATTTTTAAACAAAATTGTGGGAGGCCATTGTTTTGGACTGAGCTCATGTACTAGGCCCCAGACCAAATCAAAATGAAGTCACTCATGCTAAATGTGGCATAATCAAACTAAGATTTTAAGGAAACACAAAGATCCTAGAACAGACCCAGTTTTGGGTTTTTTTTTTTCTCCTGTAAACAGGACATTCACCCATAAGTAAGTACCATCTACTCTAACCCATAAAACAAACAAACGAACAAACAAAAAACTGAAGGCCTTGTTCCCACCTTGCAAAACCCACTCTTCTACTGTTTTTCAGTAGGTTTCAAGACCAAATAACTACGTTTACAATGGTGATAGTGACATCAATGAGCAAAGTTTCAATCAATCTCTCAAAACTGAGAAGATGACCAAAAGGAGGGAATTGTTAAATCAATTTTAGCCTAAAGCTGCCTCTTTCCATATTTTAAGTTCAGCCTAAAGTTTCCTCTGTAAGTTGTGAACTATAACCAGTGGAAGTATAAACAGACCATAGGTTACACTTGTGCCAGTTGCTGAGTTTGGGCCAATCAAATATAGCTAACTGTTTGAACCGTGTTCAAATAAGGCAAACACCAAGCTGTAACCAATCCGGCTGTTTCTGTAACTCACTTCCATTTTCTGTACGTCACTTTCTCTTTTTTTTTTTTTTTTGTCAATAAGTCTTCTTCCCCCACATGACTGTGCTGGAGTCTCTGAGCATACTCTGGCTCAGAAGGCTGCCCAATTTGTGAATCATTCATTGCTCAATTAAACTCTTTTAAAATTTAATTTGGTGGAGGTTTTTATTTTATCAATGTCTACAATGGGAAACTTTTCTCAGTAAAAATGGATGCAGTAATATGGGTGGTCTTTCTCTCACATTATGCCACCTTTATGGGGTGAGAAAATAAGAACTTTATTCCCAGTAGGATACACAAAATGAGAGTAGTGAATCATAGCAGTGGTAGAGGCAATTTTTGTCAACAAAGAAAAAAATTTTCAAGTGCAACATATTTAAGTGAGCATGCACAGGCGAGATAGGTGTAATATAGGTAAACATGATTTTCAGGGCTTGTACAATCAGATTAACAATCCTGCTAAAAATTTCCCAAGCATAAATCCTTAATATGTGGTGAACATAGAATCTGTGTTAGAGAGGGGACACATGAATGTTGATGAACCTGTCTCACGGACAACACCAAAGTCAGTACTATGTTATCTTACTAGGAGAGTGGAAATTACTCCAGTCAGAAAAAAACCTCTTTCCACAAGAATTTATGAGATGAATAAGCAAACACATTTCACATGTTAAGATACCAAACTTTCTTCATTAAATTTTTATGAAATGCACACATTGCTGTCAATGGTAACAGCAAATTAATTCACCTCCAAAAGCAATATTCCCAATTTGGTGGATAGTCTCTATATGTTAGCAAATTACATTTGGGTGGTTGGATACATTTCAAGTGGATTGAATAATGAACTTGTATTAGTTGTGAATATGTCATTTCTTCTTAAAGTGCTACCTAAGATAATAATTCAAAAAGCAAGTGAGACAAAAATTGTAAACTGTTAAAATACAATTACTCAGCATCAAGATAATAAAACAATGTCTCTCATTTCCTTATTTCAGTGAAAGTACATATTGTGGCTTACAATATCTACACATTTTGTCTGTGACATTTAAAAATATTTTTATTCTCGTTTTGTGAAGTAGTTTTTATGTACAGTAAAAATTATTTTTTGGAAGTAAGAATTTATATATTGGGGCAGGGGAAAAAAGAAAAAATAATACATGCATGCATAGATATAGATAAAGCAAATGTTGAAAGTTTTAATAATTGGCAAATTCAGGTGTAGGGTATGCAAGGGCTTCATTATCCTAATCTTTTTATGTATGTAATTTTAAAGTTTCAAAACAAAACATTGAGAAAATACAAAAACAAAACACTATTAAAACATTTGCCCTCCTCCCTACCTCCCCTGTATAGTAGTTGCAGTGTCTATTGCTGCCATCTTTATGTCTGTGAGTACCCACTGGTATTTGGTTTTTGTTCCTGTGTTAATTTGCTTAGGATAATGGCCTCCAGCTGCGTCCATGTTACTGCAATATATGCAATTTTGTTCCCTTTCATGGCTGTGTAGTATTCCATGGTGTATATGCACCATATTTTCTTTATCCATTCCATCGTTGATGGGCACCTAGGTTGATTTCATGTCTTTGCTATTGTGACTAGTGCTGCAACGGACCTACAAATGCATAGAATGATTTATTTTCTTTTGGATATATACCCAGTAATGAGATTGGTTAGCTGAATGGTAGTTCTCTTTTAATTTCTTTGAGAAATCCCCAAACTGCTTTACACAGTGTCTGAACTAATGAACTAATTTATATTCCCTGTCAATAGCGTATAAGCATTCCCCTTTCACAACTGCCTCACCAGCATCTATTGTTGTTAGACTTTTTAGTAATAGCTATTCTGACTACTGTGAGATGGTATTTCATTGTGGTTTTGATTTGCATCTCTCCAATAACTAGCGACGTTTAGCCTTTTTCTCATATGTATGTTGGCTGCTTGTGTGTCTTCTTTTGAAAAGTGTTCGTGTCCTTTGCCCATTGGGGTTATTTGCTTTTTTCTTCTTCAATTGTTTAGATTCCTTAACAATTCTAGATAATAGATATTTGTCAGATGCATTGTTTGCAAATATTTTCTCTTATTCTGCATGTTGTCTTTTTACTCTGTTGATAGTTTATTTTGCTGTGCAGAAGCTCTCCAGTTTAATTAGGTTCCACTTGTCAAGTGTTGTTTTTGTTGCAAATGCTTTTGAGGACTTCATCCAGAATTATTTCCCAAAACCAATTTGGGAAGGCTATTTCCTAAGTTTTCTTCTAGGATTCTTATAGCTTGAAGTCTTACATTTAAGATTTTAATCTGTCTTGAGTTAATTTTTGTATATTGTGACAGGTAGGGGTCAAGTTTCATTCTTTTGCATAGGGCTAGCCAGCTATCCCTGCTCCATTTATTTAATAAGGAGTTATTTCCTCATTGCTTATTGTTATCAACTTTGTTGAAGACCAGATAGCTGCAAATGTACAGCTATTTTTTTTTTGGCAGGGGGTGGGGGAGCTTTCTTTTTTGTTCCATTGGTCTATGCTTCTGTTTTTGTATCTGTACTATGCTGTTTTATTTACTGCAGCATTTTAGTATAGTTTAAAGTTAGGTAATGTGGTCACTCTTTTTGCTTAGCATTGCTTTGGCTACTTGGGCTCTTTTTTTGTGGTTGTTCCATACACATTTTAGAATAATGTTTTCTACCTCCATGAAAAATGACATCGGTAATTTGATAGGAATAGCATCAAATCTGTAGGTTCCTTTGAACAGTATGGCCATTTCGATGATAGTGATTCTTCCAATTGATGAGCATGGAATGTTTTTTCCATTTGTTTTTGTCATCTGTCATTATGTTCAGCAATGTTTTATAGTTCTTATAGAGATCTTTCATCTCCTTCATTAGATACAATTCTAGGTATTTTTGAAGCTACTGTAAATTCGATTTTGTTCTTGATTTTGCTCTCAGCTTGAACATTATTGGTGTATAGAAACACTACTGATTTTTGTACATTGATTTTTTGTCCTGAACTTTAATGAAGTCATTTATCAGTTCCAGAAGCTGCTTGGCAGAGTCATTAGGGTTTTAGTAAGTATAAAATTATATTGTCCATGAAGAGAGATAATTTGACTTCTTTTTCTTTTGCATGCCTTTTATATTTTCATCTTGCCTGATTGCCCTGGTGAGAACATTCAGTCTTTGTTAAATAGAAGTGATTAGAGTGGGGATCTTGTTCCAGTTCTCGAGGGAAATGCTTCCAGTTTTTGCCTATTCAGTATGATGTTTGCAGTGGGTTTGTCATAGATAGCTCTTATTATTTTAAGTCTCTTTGATATCTAATTACTTGAAGGCTTTTTTCATGAAGGGATGTTACGTTTTACGAAAAGCATTTTTGCATTTATTGAGGTGATCATATGGTTTTTCTTTCTAATTATGTTAATGTGGTGAATCACATTTCTTAATTTGTATACGTTGAAACAACCTTGCATCCCAGAAGTGAAGCCTACTTGATCGTGGTGAGTTATTTTTTAACATGGTGCCAGATTTGGTTTGCTAGAATTAGTTGAGGATTTTTATGTCTATGTTTATGAGGGATATCGGCCCCTAGTTTTCTCTTTTTGTTGTATCTTAGCCAGATTTTGGTATCAGGGTGATGTTGGCTTCATAGAATCAGGTAATGAGAAATCCTTTCTTTCCAACTTTTTGAATAGTTTCAGCAGGATTGGTACAAGCTCTTCTTTCCATCTCTTGCTCAATTAAACTATGAATCTTTGAAGCCGGGGGATTTTGTTGGTTGATAGGTTATTTTATTACTAATAAAATTTTTAAAATGTTCACATTTTGTTAAGTATAAGTGGATAATCATCATGATTCAATAATTTGAAAACCTTGATGCAGCAAATTACTTTGTTCAGAAAACATATTTCTCAAATAATGTTGTTCAGCCATATTTGTCCTTCTCTAACTCATATTTTTAAAATTAAATATTTCTTTCTTAACTGTTTCTTACCAATGAACTTTCTTTATAGATAATTTCTTTACTGAAAATAGAATGAAAGTACTTGCAATATATGATGAAATGCCCAGGGGAGCAAAACGACTGAATAGAAGCCTCTACCAATTGTCCTCCCTGCAGGAACACCAAATTTCACATCTACACAAAAAAGCACATTAATAAGAACCAAAAATCAGGTGAGTAACCACAGTACCTGGTTTTAACTTTATATCATTGAAGAAAGCACCGAAGAGGGCAGAAAATATAATCTTGAGTTGCTGATGCCACCCCTACCACATCAACCAGCAGCAGCCCTGTTGCCCAGAGAGACAATCTGTGCTCTAGGGAGAGGAAAAGAATTGTGATTGTGAGACTTTGCATTGGCACTCAGTGCTGTCCTATCACAGTGAAAGCAACATCACACAGAACTCAGCCAATGCCTGTGGAGGGAGCATTTAGACCATATCTAAGCAGAGGGGAATCATCCATCCCAGTGGCTCTAACTTGAGGTCTGGCAAGACTAGCCACTGTAAACTAAAGTCCTGTAGAGTACTTAATTAACTTGAAAGGCATTCTAGGCCACAAAGCCTGCAACTCCCAGGCAAGTCCTAGTGCTGTGCTGGGCTTGGAGCCACTGTACTTTGGGGGCACACAACCTAGTGAGACAATGGAATGGCCAAGGGAATGCTTCCGCCACCCCACTTCCAATACCAGGCAATGCAGCTCACAGCTCTTAAAGAGACTCCTTCCTCCCACTTGAGGAAAAGAGAGGGAAGAGTAAAGAGGACTTTGTCTTGCAACATGGAGACCAGCTCACCCACAGTAATAGGGCACCAGGCAGAGTCTTCAGGTCCCCATTACAGGCTCTAGGTCCTGGATGACATTTCTAGTCATACCCTGAGCCAGAAGGAAACTCGCTGCCTTGAAGAGAAGGACCCAGTCCTAATAGTATACATCATCTTCTGACTAAAGGGCTCTTGGGTCCTGAATAAACAATCGCAGTAGTCCAGTAGTACCTGGCATGAGCTTTGGGTGGGACTCTGAGACCTGCTAGCTTAAGGTGTGACCCAGAACATTTACAGATGTGGTGGCTATGAGGACAGACTCCTTCTGCTCTTGAGAAGCAGAAAGAAAAGGAGTCTTTCTCTTGCACCTCAGGTACCAGCTCAGCCACGGTGAGGTAGAGCACATAGTGGACTTTTTGGGACCCCAATTCTAGGCTTTGGCTCTTGGATGTTATTTGTGGACCTTTCTTGGGCCAGAGTAGAGCCAACTTCCCTGAAGGGTGAATCCCGGGCCTGGCAGCATTCACTACTAGCTGACTAAAAAGCCCTTGGACCTTGAGGGTATATTGCTGGTCACCTGGCAGTACTCCCTGTGGGCATGTGGGGATGGAGGGCATGGGGAGAGAATCCCCGCTTCTGAAAAGAAGAGGAAAAAGTGAAAAAGACTTTGTCTTGTGGCTTGCATGCCAGCTCAGACACAGACGAATAGAGCAGCAGGTAGATTTCTAAGGCCTCTGACTCTAGACCCTAGATTCTGGGTAACATTCCTGAACTTGTCCTGGGCCACCATGAAGGGAAAAAGCAAGCCTGGCTGATTCCACCACTTACTAATCGTAGAACCCTAGAGACTTAAGTGAACAAAGGCAGCAACTAGATAGTGATTACAATGGGCCTTGCACAAGACCCAGTGCTGTGTTGTCCCACACAGCAGTCCCAGTGATGTTGACCACAGGGGTGGTTATGTCACCCCTCCCCAAGCTCCAAGCAACTCAGCACAGAGAGAGAGAGACCCTGTTTGTTTTGGAGAAAGCACGAGAAGAGAACAAGAGTCTCTGCCTAGTAATTCAGATAATTCTCCTAGATTTTATCCAAGACCACCATGGCAGTACTTCTATAAGTATGAAAAAGCCACAGTCTTTTTGGGCTGGGGGTGCACTATGATGCAGATACAGCTTAAGTGACCAAAAACTTAGATAAAAACACCAAAGTCCCTTTGAATACTTGGAAAGCCTTCCCAAGAAGGACAGGTATAAACTAGCTCAGACTGCAAAGACTACAATAAATACTTAATTCTTTAATGCTCAAAAACTGATGAACATTCACAACCATCAAGACCATCCATGAAAACATGACCTCACCAAAATAACTATAGAAAGTCACCAGGGACAAATCCTGGTGAAACAGAGTTCTGTGACCTTTCAGAGAATTCAAAATGCCTTTATTGAGGAAACTCAATGAAATTCTACATAACACACAAAAGAAATTGAGACTTTTACCAGATAAGTTTAATAGATATTCAAATAATTAAAGAGAATCAAGCAGAATTGCTGGAGTTGAAAAATACAACTGTCATCCTGAAGGATGCATCAGAGGCTCTTAATAGCAGAATTGATCAAGCAGAAGAAAGAAAGAATTCGTGAGCTTGGAGACAGGGTATTTGAAAATACATAGTCAAGAGAGACAAAAGAAAAAAGAAAAAGAAAAATACATACCTATGAGATCTAGAAAATAGCCTGAAAACAGCAAATCTAAGACATATTGCCCTTAAAGAGGAGGTAGAGAGAGATAAGGATAGAAAGTTTATTCAAGCCGTTCATAACAGAGACCTTCTCAAACCTATTAAAAGATATCAATCTTCAAGTACAAGAAAGTTATAGAATGCCAAGCAGATTTAACCCAAAGAAGATTACCTCAAGGGATTTAATAATCAAAGTCCTGGCAGGGCGTGGTGGCTCACGCCTGTAATCCCAGCACTTTGGGAGGCCGAGACAGGCAGATCATGAGGTCAAGAGACTGAGACCATCTGGCCAACATGGTGAAACCCTGTCTCTACTAAAAATACAAAAATTAGCTGGGCGTGGTGGCACATGCCTGTAGTCCCAGCTACTCGGGAGGCTGAGGCAGCAGAATCGCTTGAACCCAGGAGGCAGAGATTGCAGTGAGCCAAGATTGCGCCACTGCACTCCAACCCGGCAACAGAATGAGACTCCGTCAAAAAAAAAAAAAAAAAAAAAATCAAAGTCCCAAAACTCAAGGATAAAGGATCCTAAAAGCAGCAAGAGAAAAGAAACAAATAACATACAATGCACTCCAATAGGCAGCAGACATTCAGTGGAAACCTTACAGGCCAGGAGAGAGTGACATGACATATTGAAAGTGCTGAAGGAAAATAACTTCTACCTTAGACTAGTATATACAGTGAAAATATTCTTTAAGCATGAAGAAATAAGGACCTTCCCAGGAAAACAAAAGCTGAGGAATTTCATCAACACCACACCTGTCCTGCAAGAAATGCTAAAGGGAGTTCTTCAATCTGAAACAGAAGGATATTAATGAACAATTAAAAATTGTCTGAAGGTACAAAACTTACCAGTAATAGTAGGAATACAGAAAAACACAGAATATTATAACACTTTAATTGTGGTGTGTAAACTACTCATATCTTGGGTAGAAAGACTAAAAGAGGAAATGATAAAAATAATAACTATAAAACCATTCAATACATAGGGAGTAAAATAAGAATTAAATAGAAACAACAATAAGTTAAAAAGTGGAGGGATTAAGTTAAAATATAGAGTTTTTATAAATTTTCCTTTTGCTTTTTTATTTATGTAATCAATGTTAAATTTTCTTCAGTTTATAATAATGGGTTATAAGATAGTATTTGCAAGCCTCATGGTAACCTCACATGAAATACATACTACAGGTAAACAAAATTGAAAAACAATAAATTAAAACATACCACCAGAGACAATAATCTTCCCTGAAAGGAAGACAGGAAAGATGGAAGTAAAGAAGAGAAGACCACAAAACAACTAGAAAACAAATAACAAAATAGCAAGAGTAATTCCTTCGTTATCAATAATAACATTAAAAATAAAAGAAACTCTCCAATCAAAATACATAGAATGGATGAATGAATTTTTAAAAAGCTAGACCTAATAATCTATTGCCTACGAGAAACACATTTCCCCTATAAAGACACACAAAGACTAAAACTAAAGAGATGGAAAAAGACACTCCATAAAAGATACTCCCTGTTAAATAGACGGTGCTGGCATAGTTGACTAGCCCTATGCAGAAGAATGAAACTTGAAAAAAACGTACAAAAATACAAAAAATACGAAAATTAGCTGGGCATGTTTGTACGTGACTGTAGTCCCAGCTACTTGGGAAGCTGAGACAGGAGGATTGCTTGAGCCCAGGAGGTTGAGGCAGCAGTGAGTCGTGATCATGCCACTGCACTCCAGCCTGGGTGACAGAGTGAGACCATGTATCAAAAAAAAAAAAAATTAAGAAAATTTAAACTTTTTAAAAAATATATAAAAAATTGAAAAACCTTTAGCAAGACTAAGAAAAAAAGAGAGAAGACACAAATAAATAAAAGCAGAGATGAACAAGGAGACATTATTCCTGATACCGAAGGAATTTAAAAGATCATTAGATGCTTCCATGAACAACTATATGGTAATAAACTGGAAAACCTAAAAAAAATGGGCAAATTTCTAGTCACTTAAAATCTACCAAGATTGAGCCATGAAAATTCCAAAATCTGAGTAGGGCCATAACAAGTACCAAGATTGAAGCCATAATAAAAAGTCTCCAGCAAAGAAAAGTCCAGACCCCCATAGTTTCGTTGTGGTATTTTATCAAACATTTTAAAAGAACTAGTACCAATCCTACTCAAACTATTTCAAAAAATAAAGGAAGAGAGGATACTTCCAAACTTATTCTACGAGGCCAGTATTACCGTATACCAAAACCAGACAAAGACACACACACAAAAATACAGGCCAATACCCTTGATGAACATTTTTTAAAACATTTATTTTAAGTTTAGGGGTAAAATTGCAGACTTATTATATAAGTAAACTTGTGTCATGGGAGTTTGTTGTACAGATTATTTTTTCACCCAGGTATTAAGCATAGTAACGATTAGTTATTTTTCCTGATCCTTTCCTTCCTTCCACCCTCCACCATCCAAAAGGCCCCAGTGTGTGTTGTTCCCCTTGATGCGTCCATGTGTTCTCATCATTTAGATTCCACTTATAAGTGAGAGCATGCAATATTTGGTTTTCTGTTTCTGTGTTAGTTTGCTAAGGATAATGGCCTCCAGCTCCATCCATGTTCCTGCAAAAGATATGAGCTAGCTCTTTTCTATGGCTGCATAGTACTCCATGGTGTATGTGTACCACATTTTCTTTATCCATTCTATCATTGATGGGTCCTTGATGAAGACTGATGCAAAAATTCTGAACAACATACCAGCAAAACAAATTCAACAACATATTAAAAAGATAATGACCAAGTGGGATTTATTCCAGGGATGCAGAAATGGTTTCAGATTGACAAAGCAATCAGTATGATACATTATATTAACAGAATGAAGGAAAGAAATTACATGGTCATTTCAATTGATACTGAGTAAACATTTGATAAAATTCAACATTCTTTCATTACTCAATCTATGCATTTGATGAAGGCCTAATATCCAGCATCTATAAAGTACTTAAACAAATTTACAAGAAAAAGAAAACACTAACAAAACCATTACAATGTAGGCAAAGGACACGAGAAGACATTTTTCCAATGAAGGCATACATGGGGCCAACAATCATATGAAAAAAAGCTCAACATCACTGATCATCAGAGAAGTGTATGTCAAAACCACAATGAGATACTATCTCATACCAGTCAGAATGGTTAATTATTAAAAAGACAAAAAATAACAGATGATGGCGAGATTGTGGAGAAAAAGGAATGCTGATACACTCTTGGTAGGAGTGTAAATTAGTTCAGCCATTGTGGAAGACAGTGTGGTGATTCCTCAAAGACCTAAAAACAGAAATTCTATTTGACTCAGCAATCTCATTACTGGTTATATACCTAAAGGAATATAAATCATTCTGTTATAAAGAAACATGGATGCATATGTTCATTGCAGCACTATTCACAATAGCAAAGACATGGAATCAAACTAAATGCTCATCAATGATAGACCGAATTTCAAAATGTCGTACATATACACCATGGAATACTATGCAGACATAAAAAAGAATGAGATCATAAAAAAGAATGAGTTCTTTGAAGGAACATGGATGAAGCTGGAGACCACTATCCTTAGTAAACTAACGTAGGAACAGAAAACCAAATACTGCATGTTCTCAGTTATAAGTGGGAGCTAAATGATGAAAACACATGGACGCATAGATGAAAACAACACAAACTGGGGCCTATTGGAGGGTGGAGGGTGAAAGGAGGGAGAGGGTCAGGAAGAATAGCTAATGGGTACTAAGTAAGTTTAATACCTAGGTCATGAAATAATCTGTACAACAAACCCCGATGACACAAGTTTACCTATGTAACAAACATGCACACATGCCCTTGAACTTAAAAGTTAAAAAAGCAACTCAGAAAAATCTGAGTATAGAAGGAACACATCTCAACACAATAAAAGCCATACATAACAGACTCACAGGTAGTATCTTTCTGAATGAAGAAAAGCTGAAAGTGTTTCCTTTAAGATCTGGAGCAAGACAGGGGTGCCCACTTTCACCACTGTTATTAACATAGTACTGGAAGTTCTAGCTAAAGCAATCAGACAAGAGAAATAAAGGGCATCCAATATGGAAAGGAAGAATTTACATTATCCTTTTTTTGCAGATGTTACAATCTTATATTTGGAAAAACCTAAACACCCCACTAAAAATGATTAGAACTGATAAATGAATTCAGTAAAGTTGCAGGATACAAAATCAACATACAAAAATCAATAGCAAAAATCATTAACAATGAACAATCTGAAAAAGATTAAAAAACATAATTTTATTTACAATAGCTACAAATAAAATCACATACCTAAGAATTAGTGTAACTAAAAAAGTTATAGATCTCTACAATGAAAACTATGAAACACTGATGAGAGAAATTGAAGAGGACACCAAAAGATGAAAAGATATTTTATGTTCATGGTTTGGAAGAATCAATATTGTTAACATGTCCATACAACCCAAAGCAATCTACAGATTTAATGCAATGCCTATCAAAATACCAATAATATTATTCATAGAAATTGAAAAAACAATCATGACATTCATACAAAATCATAATAGACCCAGAATAGCCAAAGCTATCTTTTTCAAAAAGGACAAAATTGGAGGAATCACATTGTCTGACTTCAAATTATACTACAAACCTATAGTAATGACAACAGTATGATGCTGAAATAAAAACAAATGCATAGATTAATGGAACAGAATGGAGAATGGAGAACACACCCATTCATCTACAGTGAATACATTTTTGACAAAAGTGCCAAGAACATACAATAGGGAAAGGACAGTCACTCTAATAAATCGTGCTGAAAAAAAATGGACATCCATATGCACAAGAATAATACTAGACCACTATCTCTCACCATATGCAAAAATTAAATCAAAATGGATTAAGCACTTAAAGCTAAGACTTCTAACTATGAAGCTACAAAATGAAAACATAGGGAAAACTCTCCAGAACACTGGACTGGACAAAGATTTCTTAAGTAAATACCCCACAAGCGTGGGCAACCAAAGCCAAAATGGACAAATGGGATGAAATAATGTTAAAATGCTTCTGCACAGCAAAAGAAATAATCAACAAAGTGAGAAAATAACTCACAGAAAAGGAGAAAACATTTGCAAACTATCCATCTGGCAAGAAATTCATAACCAGCATATATAATAAGCTCAAACAACTCTATAGGAAAAAATTTAATAATCAAATTTAAAAATGGGCAAAAGAATTGAATAGACATTTCTCAAAAGAAGATAAATAAATGGCAAAGAATTGTATGAAAAGGTGCTCAACATCATTGGTAATCAGAAAAATGCAAATCAAAACTACAGTGAGATATAATCTTACTTCAGTTAAAATAAATTTAATCCAAAAACAGACAATAACAAATGCTGACGAGGATGTGGAGAAAAGGGATTCCACCTACACTGTTGGTGAGAATGTAAATTAGTACAACCACTATGGAGAACAGTTTGGAGAGTCCTGAAAAAACTAAGAATAGAGCTATCATACCATCCAGCAATCCCACTTGTAGGCATATATCCAATATCAAAGAGATATTTGCACACTCACATATACTGCAGGACTATTCACAATAGTCAAAATTTGGAAACAACCTATGTATTCATCAACATCTGAACGGATAATGAAAATATGGTACATATACACAATGAAGTACTATTGAGCCATAAAAAGTAATTAGGTCCTTCCATTTGCAACAAAATGAGTGGAACTGGAAGTCATTATGCTAAGTGAAATAAGCTAGGCATAAAAAGATAAACTTCACATATTCTCACTCATTTGTGGGAGTTGGATATTAAAGTAGTTGAACCCTAGGAGACAGAGTGTTGAAGGATCATTACCAGAGAATGCGGAGGAACTGGGGATGGTTAACGGGTTCAAAAAGTAGTTAGAAAGGATAAATAAGACCTAGTATTTGACAGCACAACTGGGTGAATGTAGGTTATAATAATTTATTGTTAATCTTAACATAACTAAAAGAGTGTAACTGGATTGTTTGTAACAAAAAGGATAAATGATTGAGGTAATAAATAGTTCATTTACCCTGATGTGATTATTACATATTGTATGCCTGTATCAATATATCTTATGTACTCCATAAATATATAGATCTTCTACATACCCATGAAAAATTAAAATGAAAAAAAAAACACTTAAAATGTATAATGAAGCACCATATCTGACAATCAACAAAATATGATCATTGATCCTTGGTCAATTATGGTATATGATGTTTACATTGTAACTTAAAATCCTTCATGGAAAGTTGTTACTTATATGCAATAGTAGGCCTAATGGAGAAATTTTTGAAATTTGGAAAATTATTCATTTTCTTGAGGAAATGTGGTTTGGTAGGATAAAACAGAGGCTTTGAAAAAGGAAGATTCACAAGTTTGCTCAACTGTGTACAACATAAATGTTTCTGGGTCAGTTTATTAAGCACATTTAGGGACTAATTTCACCTTTTAAAATTGGTTTATAACTACCCAATTGCATACTTGGCACATAGTGGAGTTAGTAAATAATATATTTTGTCATTTTGTCTTACTATTTGTTTTGACAATTGTTGTGATTATTGCAACTTAGTTTTCTGACACATTTGGCGCTGTTTTCTCACTTACAAAAGAAAGGTCATGAACTAGACAATTCTTACGGTTCTTACAGATCCAACATTCTCACTGTAGACAATAGGTCAGCAAATCTACTCTGTAAAGAGCCAGAGGGTAGATATTTTTGGCTCTGTGCGCAGATCATCTGTCTTAACTACTTAACTCTGCTATTATGATGTGAAATCAGCCATTGATAATTTATGAACTAATGGACCTGGCTGTGTTCTAACAAAGCCACATTTACAAAAACAGTTTATAGGTCAAGTTGGCCTGTGGGCTGAAGTTTGCCTGCCTCTGTTCCAGGTATTCAAATAGTCAGTAAATTCAAATGCCTTTATTTGACAAAATAATTTTGTGTCATCATATTCAACATTAGCTGCTGAGGCCTTTGCAACAATGAGGCTGAAAGTAAGATAATATGACCAATAGAGAAGGCACTTACTCTCTATGTTGCCACTGAATTATCTTGATTTTGTGGGGTAATAACAAGGAGAGATTATTGTTATACTATGTAACTCTGAAAACAGCACTGCTGCCTAGAACCATCACTGCTGGTGCTCTTATGATTAAGATTTGCCCTTATGATTAAGATTTGCCCTTATGATTAAGATTTGCGGTGATAAACATGCAGCTACTGCATGGTTGGAAAGCCAGAAAAATTAACAGACAGCATTAAAAAACAAAATTAAACATGCTAAAACAAAAGTCATTTAGAATAATTACTGAGTCCACAGCAAATTATATATCTCTTTCCCATGTTATATTGTTTTGGAAAGTTATAGCATGTATTAGTATTTCATTCCCTTTCATCACAAAATACCATCCCATTTATAACTATGTCATATTCCTTTATTCATTAATCAGCTTTTGGACATTTGAGTTGTATACTTTTTTATTATTTTGGAAGATGCTTCTATGAAGTATCATATCAGGTTTTTGTGTAAGCATAAATGTTCAACTCTCTGGAATGTATAGCTAAGTATTGAAATTGCTGGATCATATACTAATTATATATTTAGCATTTAGAAAAATTAAAAAGTAGGTTTCCAAAGTAATTGTACAATTTTCCTATCCCACCAGTTATGTAGAGGAGTTGCAGTTCATCCACATCCTTGTCAAAACTTGTTATTGTCTTTTATTATTATAGCCATCTTAGTGCATAACCAGTTTTGGTGCTTGTGAATTTTTCTAATAACTAATGATGTTGAACATCTTTTCATGTATTTACTGGCCATTTGCGTAGCTTTGAAGAAATGTTTATTCACATCCTTTGCCCATTTAAAAATGAGTAATTTCTTTTTTTATTATTGAGTTTTCAGTATTCTTTATATATTCCAGATACTAGTCTCTTATCAAATATATTGTCTACAAATAATTTCTTACATTTTGTAGGTTGTCTTTTGTTATATCATCAACTAATAACTCTGTTGGTGAGGAAGGAATGCCCTAGAGTTATGGAGATGGCCAAACATATGACTGACTCTTGATAGATGAAATCGAGGGCAGTTTGTTTCTCACATACAAGCACAGCCACAGGAGAAGACACTGCATAACACACAGGACCACACAAGGGTTACATCCAGGAACAGAGTGAACAACCAGGAACTTTGAGAAACAGATTTTTTAGTGTGAAGAGGGTGGGATGTCCCCTGTTCGCTGCAGGAGAATGTAATTGGTTTCTTTGCATAATTCTGTAGGCTGGTAGGGCACTGAAATCCACTTATCAAGAATATACAGAAACTACTGCCGGTACTTTTCATAACGAGAATTGTTTTTTTCTGTTTTTGTGTGTGTGCATTTTTTTTTTTTCTGCTTTATCCATGGGAGCAGAAGGGGAGGTGAACATGTAGTTAGGCCATTTGAAACACTAATGATGTTACCAGATATCAAGAAGGCATATAATATTGGACCTTTATTTTAGACCTTAACCCACAATTGACCTTTGATTCCTTGGTATCAATTTAAACTCAATAATGGCTAAAACTTTTAGGGAGTAGGACAAGTGCATCCCTAGCGAATTTAGTGCATGAAATAGAGGAAGAAGGCCACATAATGAGGTAGTCATCAAAAAGAATGAATTTTAGAGGTATCTCTCTTTATGTCCAATAAAAGAAATCGAGGGACTTGTGTGACATTGGTGTAGGGAGAGCATGTCTCCAGGGCATGTGATTTGAGATTAATTAATGCCTCTGGCAATAATGACATCCATTGGGGTTCTCTTGGCCATTTGTCAGTTAACTAGTATCTCTGAGGATTTCATTATACTTCTCAATTAAACTTCTGCTTGAGACCTATAGGTGAAATGTAAAGTCCACTAAATACCTTCTTTGAGAACCCAGAATTGTATATTCTGAGAGTTAAAAGTGCCTTGATCATGATCATTAATATCTGGAACTCAAAAAGATAAGTGTCCTGGTAAAGCCTTGTTTTACAGCCTTAGTAGTCTAGAGATATTCATAAACTTGATTAAAATTTTCGGTATATGTGAGTCAGGAATCTATGAGTGCTTTACCCCAAAGGGGGAAGCTCTTAGTCAGTGGCCCAGAATTAGTAAAATTTGCAAAACAGGACATTTGTTGGATAGGGCATCCAGTGCCAAGGTGACTACAAGAAGTTTGGCCATTTGCATTGATCCTTGGGTCTTGTCCTTTAACAGGGATGTTCTGGTTAAGAATGGAAAGCAGTCACATTTCTCTGAGTTCCATCACCTATCATGGTGGTAATATCTGTAAAGTGTTATGAACTTTGAAAGAAACCAAAATATTTCACTCCAAAATATATTTTCGTTGACGTATTTCAAGATGGCTATTTAAAAAGGTTGGAATTTGCTGAAATGCTATCTTTTGTGGGAGAGATATGAATCTGTAGAAAAAAATCTCCATTGATGTAGTAAGGCTTTTTCTGAGGGCCTTCTCTTGTTTCTCATTCGTATCTAAGAAATATTAACTGAGAGCCTGAAACTTTTAAAGTTTCGAAAGAAACACTTACCAACTATTCTCTCTAAGGGCCACTACCTGTGATGTCTCATCTACATAACAGACTACTTCTTCTCTCTGTTTAGTATTTGTAATGCCACTATAACCTGTTTTGCCATGATTCAAGCCACCATTTTTTTTTTTTTTTTTTTTTTTTTTGAGACAGAGTCTTGTTCTGTCACCCAGACTGGAGTGTAGTAGCATGGTCATAGCTCACAGCAGCCTTGACCTCCCGGGCTCAAGTAATCCTCTTACCTCAGCCTCCCAAGTAGCTTGGACGACAGGCACACACCACCATGCTTGACTAATATATATTTTTTATTTTTTGTAGAGACACAGTCTCACTATGTTACCCAGGCTTGTCTCGAACTCCTGAGCTCAAGCGATCTTCTCACCTCAGCATCCTCAAATGCTGACATTACAGGAGTGAGCCACCACATGTGGTCAAATCCTTTATTCTTTTTGTAAACCTCAAGATGCTTTTATAAGCTTATGAACACTATTGGGATTGGGAGTAATCACTCTGTGGTTCTCCCTGAGCATGTTAAAATTGCATGTCATTTATTCTATTAATCGGCCTTTTGTTTGTTGATTTTTCAGCAAAACTTCGGAGGGCAAAGGGGAAGTTTTCTTTGGCCCTTACAACTTTTATTATTTTCATTCAGTTGATCCCAAGGGGCTCCATAGCCAGTGAAGGTTTCTGGTAGACAGGTTACCTCCTCCAGCACCATAGCATCTGGCCAGGGACTGAGGACAAGAGAGGTCACTACCTCCAATAGATGAAATGTGCCAGAGGACCCATGTTTGGCTTCATCTTGTGGCAAGTAGGACTTGGTGGCCATGCCAAATTTGTGAGGTCTCACTTTCATGATCCAAGGCATAACGGGCTTCTAGGTATGCAGGGTTAGAGGCTCAGGATCTGTGAGGGCCTATCTTCTCAGGGAACCCAGTATATGACCAGCAATTGCCACTGTAATGGTGCATAGTGCTGAGCCTAATGGGCAGTTTCTCACATCTAAAGCCCAGGACAACTTACATCAAAATGTAAGGGTTCTCTTTGCCAGTTGCCTAGACAGAGCTGATTTATCAAGACAAGGAAATTGCAATAGAGAAAGAGTAATTCACACAGAGATGACTGTATGGGAGACCAGAGTTTTATTATTACTCAAATCAGTCTCCACAAAAACTCAGGGACTGGGGTTTTTAAGGACAATTTGATGGGTAGGGGGCCAGTGAGTCAGGAGTATTGATTGGTAGGGTTTGAGATGAATCACAGGGAGTTGAAGCTATCCTCTTGTGCTGAGTTAGTTCCTGGGTGGGGACCACAAGATCAGATGAGCCAGTCTATCGATCTGGGTGTTGCCAGCTAATCTATCAAGTGCAGGCTCTGCAAAATATCTCAAGCACTGATCTTAGGTTTTACAACAGCAATGCTATCCCCAGGAGCAATTTGGGGAGGGTCAGAATCTTGTAGACTCCAGCTGCATGACTCCGAAACCATAATTTCTATACTTGAGGCTAATTTGATAGTTCTACAAAGGCAGTCTAGCTCCCAGGCAGGAAGTGGGTTTTTTTGGGAAAGGGCTGTTATCATCTTTGTTTCAAAGTTAAACTATAAACTACGTTCCTCCCCAAGTTAGTTTGGCCTACACTCGGGAATGAACAAGGACAGCTTGGAGGTTATAAGCAGGGTGGAGTCAGGTGAGATCTCTTTCACTGTAATAATTTTCTCAGTTATAATTTTGCAATGGCAGTTTCATAAAGAATCTCTAGGAGTGCCTGTTGATTTCAATTTGGACATATTCTAGATTCTTTTGTTGGAGAGTCTTCCATTTAAAGTTTGTCAATTTTAAAGTCACATAGCAGTAATATTAAGCAAAATTTGTAAAGGAGGAATATGTTGCCTCCAGAATCCAAAAATGATCAAAAGATGCTGGACTTTTATAAATATTATGGGTGCTGAGAACATGAATAGCTCTTTCTTGACAGTGTCAGGGATGAAGCAATCTTCAGTTCACCAAGTGATTTTTAGAAATTTAACAAAGGTGGCAGGGCTTTTCACTATATATGGAGCAATGACTTATTTTTTTTGGAAACTCCCTTGTACTTGTATTTCCTTAATCAGCATATCAAACAAACCTTCTCAGAGGAGAATGTAATCAATGTAATATGCTCATGCTCCTGAAAAAAAAAGACAGCAGAGTTAATATCTTGCCTACAAAAATTGTGTGTAATGGCAAGGCTACTGAAATACACCATAGGTAGCATGATACAGGTGTATTGTGTCCCTTCAAAGGGAAAAGTAAACTTCAGCAGAGAGGCATTGAAATAGAAATTGAACAGAACGTGTTAGCCAAATTTATAATAGGACAATATTTCCCTGTTGCTATTTGGAGGGAGTCAGTATTTTCAGTGATATTGGGCATAGGAGGCCTTAGTGGATGAGACCATAACATTAAAGTTGCAGTAATCTGCCATGAGAAACTATTCATTTTTTCCAGGTTTAAGAGCTGGCCAAATAAGGTTGTTAAATGGAAAAGCTGTGGGGATAATTACCTTTTTACTAATCAGGTACTTGTGTTCGGATAATAATTCTCTGACACCAGCTAGGTGTCCTGATATTCAATTCAATTTTGATAATGACTATCTGAAATTAGTGCAGACCCCAAATGTTAAGTCCCACAGACTACCCTCACTTTAAATGTCAGTCCCAAGTTCTGGGTGCCACCTGCACTTTCAACTGACCAACTATAAATGTAGGGTTTCCCTTAAATTATGATAATTCGCTAGAATTACTTACAAAACTCTCAGGCAAGTGTTATATTATGGGTACTGTTGTATTATAAATTACATAAATAAACAGTCAGATGAAGAGATACATAAGGCAAGGGAGTGCAGTAGCACAACATTTCTGTCCCGGTGTTCTTGGGGTGTGCCATCCTCCCATTACATAAACATGTTTACCAGGCAAGAAGCTCTCCAAGTCTCATTGTACAGAGTTTTTTTTTTTTTTTTGTGGAAGTTTTACCATGTACACATGCTTAATTACATCAGTGGCCAAGTTATTTAACTCAATCTTCAGCCCTTCTCCCTTCCTTGAAGGTAATAAAGTGGGGTTGAAAATTTTTTTCTGCCTAATCATGTGGTTGGTTTTTCTGGCAACCAACTCCCATCCTGAAGTTATCTAGGGACCCTGCCAAGAGTCACCTTCTTAGCATAAACTCTGGTATGGTCCCAAGGGGCTTTTTATAAATAACAAAGGACATTTCTATCACTCAGGAAATATCAAACATTTTTTGAAACTCTGTGCCAAGAAGGGAGAACAAAAATCCAAATAGATTTACATTTAATATACTATAGTCTTATATAATACATTTCAATTGTTGAAATGTATTGTTTTAATTTATACTGGGCTATGTTGACTATTTTACCTTGAGGTTTATAGGGTACCATTTTGTCAATCTATTGTGTAAATGACAGAAACAATTTAATTTTATGATAACTAAGGTGACTTATACCTGTTAATCTTCTATTGTATATTTAGTTAACCCCCACTAAGATTATAGTAGGTACTGTTATATTAGATAGCTAGTCAGACATGAACAGGGAAGGAGAGGCCCCCACCACTACCAGGAATGTCAGGCAACTATCAGGTGATGGTCAGGTAGTTGTTAAACTGTTTCTCTAAAATAATAATTGGTCTCAGCTGGCATCAGGGA
Source organism: Homo sapiens (assembly GCF_000001405.40). Taxonomy (NCBI): domain Eukaryota; kingdom Metazoa; phylum Chordata; class Mammalia; order Primates; family Hominidae; genus Homo; species Homo sapiens. The sequence continues at coordinate 89,839,333 of NC_000023.11, forward strand.
ACGGTAGTCTCCAAATGGATATAGGAAACCTAGGGGCTAGTGATCGGCAGATTCCTGATGGGACCTTGGGAGTTGGGTGAGTGGGTTCAAGCATATTCACTAAAAGGCAAAATGGCAGAATATAACTGGTATATGACCTCCTAGGGACATTCAACTGGTAAAGGAAGAATGTCTCAAGTGAGCATGTTTAAAACTCCAATAAATGCACTGCACATGCTCACCTCCCAAGTGCTGGTAGGCCACTGTGCATGTGGACAGCCCACCCCAAGGGAAGAACCAGGGGAGAAGGGACCCAAGACCCCAGAAATATACCAACATATAAAACCCCTAGTCAAAAGGTCAAACAGTGCCCTTGATCTCTCAAGTCGCCCATTGGCCCTCTTCCAAGCATACACATTTCTTTCATCCCTGCTCTAAAACTCTCTAATAAACTTCACTTCTGCTTTAAAATTTGCCTCAGTCTCTCCTTATGCCTTATGCCCCTCAGTCGAAATATTGCTTCTGAGGAGGCAAGAATTGAGTTTGTTGCAGACCTGTATGGATTCACCGCCACTAACATACTCTGGTGCTCCGTGACTCAGATACGTTCTGCTGCTAATATACTTTGGTGCCGTGTGACTCATACATTCTGCTGCTAACAGTACTATGTTTAAATTTAATGAGATTCCCAGGTATAACTGTAATTTGAAACCCAGTATTAAATTTAAAAGAGTTTTCCAGTTGGTACATTTTAACAGATGTTACAGTTAATTCACAACTTGTGTTTTAAAGGTGCAAAAGCCAGTCGGTCCATTAAATAAATGGTGCTGGGAAAACTAAATGTTCACAAGCCAAAGCATGAAGAGGAGCCCTTACCTTACAGCATATAAAATTTTTAATTCATAATGAATCAATGATGTAACAGTAGGAGCTAAAACTATAAAACTCTTAGAAGAAAATATGGGGGTAAAGCTTTATGACATTGAATTTAGAAATTATCCCTTTATTTATTATTATTATTATTTGAGCCAGAGTCTCTCTCTGTCACCCAGGCTAGAGTGCAGTGGTGTGATCTTGGCTCACTGCAACCTCTGCCTCCCAGGCTCAGGCAATTCTCCAGCCTCAGCCTCCTACAGGCGTGCACTACTGCGTCTGGCTACTTTTTTTTTTTTTTTTTGTATTTTTAGTAGATGCGAGGTTTCACCATGTTGGCCAGGCTGGTCTCGAACTCCTGACCTCAGGTCATCCGCCAGCTTCAGCCTCCCAAAGTGCTGGGATTATAAGCATGAGCCACGGCACCTGCCTGAAATGATCCCTTTAATATGACAAGCACAGGCAACAGAAGAAAAGAGATATATTGGACTACGCCTTTGACTTATAAAAACTTTTAAAAATCAAAGGGCACTATCAACAGAGTAAAAAGGAAACACATAAAATGGGAGAAGATATTCACAAATCATAGTTGACAAGGAGCTAATATCCAGAATAAATACAAAACTTATACAACTCATCAACAAAAAGACAAACTGTCCAGTTGAAAATTGGATGAAGGACTTCAGTTGACACTTATTCAAATATTTACAAATAACCAATATGCACATAAAAACATGATCAACATCATACACCATCAGAGAAATGCAAATCAAAACCATAATGAGATACCATTTCACACTCATTAGGATGAATGTTATCAAAAACACATACAATAACAAGTGTTGATACAGATTAGGAGAAATTAGAACCCATGTGCTTTATTGGTGGGAATATAAATGATGCAACTGCTGTGGAAAAAAATATGGAATGGCAGGTCCTCAAAAAATTAAAAGTACAAGTGCTGTATAATTCAGCAACTCTACCCAAAATAATTGAAAGCAGCAATTTAAACACATATTTGTATACCCTTCTTCATAGCATTATTATTCACAACAGCCAAAAGGTGCAAGCAACCCAAGTATCTATTGGTTGATGAATGGATAAACAAAATGTGACATATAGCACCTGGGATTAAGTCCATTTTTAATTAACCCCTTTGTTGTGCCACAGGGCTGACATGGGTCTTTTCTCCTATAACACTAAGGCCAGAACTTTGTTGAAACAAAGCCATAAACAGAAAAATGGCACAGCAGGTTTTGAGCGTCACAACTTAGATGACAAACATCCTTTGCTATGGCCCTTCCTTTCCTCACATTTTATTTTTATTTTTTCTCTGCATAAATTTCCTTATAATATTTTGGATTTCTAGCCATATAAAGTCATGGCTTTCAGTTTCTGTCTCCATCCAATTTTGCATGAGTGGTAACATTCTGCATAGTTACAGAGATAGTTTTGGAAGCATGTGGCCTGGCCTGCCTCTTGGGCAGCCACCTACTTTCTCCAGGGATTGCCAGTCAATGTGCCTGAGATTGAATTCCACCTCTGGTAAGATCATTTTGCCTGTGGCATGGCCAGAGGCCATCAAGCCCCAGTATCACAAGATTACCCCTTTGATGTGCTTATAAGTAGCAATATTGAGTAAAACCCAGGTACCTTGGCTAGTTGTTTTGCTTTAGAATAGCTTGTTTTTTGATCCTTTCTCATCACCAGCCACCATGGATGTGTACCTCAATACACTTAGGGTTTAGGAGAATGTGTGCAACAACAGCAAGGCAAGCAGCAGCACAGAAAATATGTGAAGTTGTTACCCTCACCTGAAATAACAATGACTCTTGTTAAGCACCAGGGTGCCATGTTTAATTCTTCCCAAGGTGGTGATCTCCTTTGTTTTCACAATCCTCACCAAGGTCTATGCCTGGGTCTATCCCAAGGGTACACAATCACAAAAATGTCTATGTGGCTCTCTCCACCAGCCAATGACAGTCACCAGGCTAGACACATTTGACCAGAGAGCTCTAGGCTGATTCTTGGAAAGTATGACTCAATAGCCAACCAGTTAGGCTGCTGTGTCTTTGCCACCTTTATAGGTGGTAGACTTGAAGACCACCAGAGGCCAAACTCATCTGCACATTATGCTGTCATCAATTAATAACAATTCTTGCCTTTTGTATGAGAGTATTTTAGGGTAGGAAGAGATAGAGACAACAAAGTACCTTAAAAGCCAACATTCAAAACCAAGATAATCAGAAATTGGCAGTTCTGTCAAAGGCAGCCTTTTCCTACCATGGAACCAGTTAGTTAACGAACAACAGTTAATTAGAACTGACCAGGTGACCACAGCAATGGTTGGATAATTCTGTTCATGATAGCAATTGTTATAATCACTTTCTACTTAGCTTATTGATGAGAATGGATTCTTACCTGAGAATTACGGGGGTGGCCAAACACACAACACCTCTCACTGGACAGTTAAGTTTATTAGTCACACAGACACACAGCGCAGGGTATGAGGGCACTGCCTAGCGTACATGGCCACCCAGAGATTACAGTAGGGAATGGAGTGGACAAGCATTGGCTTTGTGAGATAGCCTTTTTAGTAACAGAAGTGTGGGATAACTCCTGCTTCCTGAAGGAAGATGTGATTGGCTAGTTTGAATAATTCTACAGGCTGGCAGTGAACTGAAACTTGCTACTCATGAAAAAGCAAGAATTGCATCTGGTCCACTTATAGAGGACGATTTGTTTGTCTGGGATACCTTATCCTTGTGAATAGAATAGGGAGGGGAACTTGGAGTTAAGTCATTCAATGTCTGTCTTATTTCCCCATATGTAAAAGCAGCAAATACTATTGTGACTAAGTTTCAGACCTTACATGACATCTTTTTGTGTTCTTGTTGGTTTCATTTGAAGAATGCTAGTTTTTAATTTTTATGTAGTTGAATTTGTTTACTTTTGTCTTTTGTCACTTGTGTCACATCTATAAAATTATTATCTAACCCAAGGTCTTAGATTTACTTCTATTTTTTTCTTCTATGAGTTTTATGGTGTTAGCTCTTCTATTTATTTTTTTGATACATATTTACTTAATTTTTGTATATGTATGAGGCAGGGGTTTAAATTTATTATTTTGTATGATGATATCTAGTTGCCCCAGGATTATTTGTGGAAAATATCTTTTCCCCCATTCAAGTGTCTTGGTACTCATTTTGAATCAACTCATTATTCCACTGTTACTTTCCTTATGATAGCACCACAAAGTCTTGATTACTGTAGATTTATAGGAGGTTTTGAAATGAGGAAGTGAGTACTCCAAATTCGTTTTTTGTTTTTAAACAGTTTTAGCTATTCTTGGTTTCTCATATCTGCATGCAAATTTTAATATCAGTTTGTCAATTTCTGAAAAGAAAGGAAAAAAGGCAGCTGGGATTTTTACATGGATTTTTACACAATCCCTGTAAAATTAATGTGAGTATTGTATGTCATTGAATCTGTATATTAATATGGACATTAATGCCATCTTAACATTATTAACACTTCTAATCCATGAATATGAGATGTTTCTCTATTTAGGTCTTCTTTAATTTCTTTCAGTGGTGATTTGTATTAATTTGTGTATAAGTCTCGCATCTATCTTGTTAAATTTATTCTAGTCTTCACTGCTATAATACAGTATATAATAATGCAATTGGTTTTTGTATATCGATATGTCCTTCAAATTTGTTGGACTCATTGACTAGCTCTAATGGTGGATGCTTTGAATTGTTTTATATAACATGATATTATGAGCAAATTCTAGTCTTATTTCCTAAATTGACAGGGGTTTTTAATTCATTTTTTCCTTTTCTTCTTCTTCTTCTTCTTTTTTTTTTTTTTCTTCTGAGACAGAGTCTTGCTTATAATCCAGGCTGGAGTGCAGTGAGTGGCAGGATCACAGCTTCACTGCAGGCTCAAGCAGTCCTCCCACCTCAGTCTCCTAAGTAGCTAGGACTACAGGCATGTGCCCCCACACTTGGCTAATTTTTTAAAATCTTTTGTAGAGACAGGGTCTCACTATATTACCCAGGCTGGTCTCGAACTCCTGAACTTAAGCCATTCTCCCAGCCTGGCCTCCCAAAGTGTTGAGATTACAAGCAGGAGCCACCGTGCCAGGACTAAAATTTTTTTTTTTGACTAATTTTTATGGCAAGAATGTCCAGTACAATGTCAAATAGAAGTGATGATAGAAGACCTCTTTGTGTTATCCCTAATTTAAAAGAGAAGCTTCCAATATTTTCTCATTTAATATGGTATTAGTTGTAGATGTTCTTCATCAAGTTGATGAATGTCTGTTCTATTCCTAGTGGCAATGGATAAGATCTATATATAAGTTCTATTAGAATAATAATGTTCTAGACAAAACTAGGAATAAATCATTTATAATTAAAAGTATAATTTATCATAAAATATTTTTGAAAATATAAGATGTAACCAGAGCAAATATTTTAAAATAGGAAATGTTCCTGTCCACTTTATAACATCCAATATCAGGGGGTTGGTTAATTAACTTTTCCTTCTATAGTGAAATATCAGGTATCTGAGGCCTAAAAATTCTTAAGATGAAATAATGCCAATTATTCTACAATTAGATAAGGGGTTTAAAAAGTGGAGAACCTGCCTGCGGTGTCATATGGGAACTTGTTTCAGGAACTTACTCCTTCAAATCTAAACTGCCAATGACAGTGTTTGTCAACATTCTCTAGACTTGGTATTAGAATAGAATAAGACAAATTATGCTGCTGTAATCATTTTGACCATAAAATTTCAGTGGCATAGTCCAACAAAATTTATTTATTAGTTACACGACGTCAGATGGTGTTTAGTGTTATCCAATTATCATCCAGTAACTCAGGGATTCAATGTCATGAAGAGAGTTTTCCCAGTTCAGTTTAAGTGTGATTTTGACACATGGCCACAAACACACATATGAAAATAAGGAGAAGCACAGAAATAGTGAGCACTGAATGTCTGCTATAAGCACCTCATCTAAATCAGACAATACACTTTACTCAAGATACAATTACAAAAACAGGGTTTGTGACCTTCTGGATGTACGTGGTATTTTGAGCAAACCAAAGGAATAAGTAATCTATTGCACTACAATGTAACACATTGATCATATAGTAGAGGACTATGAGACAGTTATTTGTGGTGTTAATTGCACAATTAGGGAGGATAAAAGAAGAGAAAAGTTTTCCTAGAAGAAGTAATATTTAAGAATTCAATAGCTTAGCATGGAGGGGGAGAAAGAGCACAATGTGATGTAGGCACAGAAAGAAATGTTCACATTCCCAGCAAGTGGGTGTTAGAACATAATGAGATATATTCTCTAGAAAGATTTCTCAGGAAGAAATAAAAGGGGTAACAAAAAAAAAAGCACTGAAGGCAGACAGAAAATGTGAACAGCTATTAAAATTTACCATTACCTCAGGGCACACACCTTAAAAATCCCAGATCACTATGGTGGATAGTTTTCCACGGTCTTCATCCTTGGCAGGCCACACATTTTTAATTGGTTTATCAAGACATTAAAGCCGTCAATAGCTCACAATCAAAATAAAATTATTTAAAGGGCTCAATTATTTGGTTTCATCTTTTCTCACAGATCTTTACCCAGTCCTTAGACTTTTTGATGAATTTAAGAACAAATTTTAGTATACTCCAAACCATATTCAACATTTTTTTGAACTAGAAATTCTGTTCAAATTAATTAGTCTATCATTATGAGAGTAATTATTTCATCAATAATCCCAACCTCTATTTCCACTAAATATGCTGATTTGATCTTCCTGAGAAAAATAAGTGTGTTGAATGGGTTCTTTTCATTCTTGACCTATTCAAATACTACCCAGGATTTAGCTTGATCTTGTCTCATGTATAAAGCTTCTCTTGGCCACCCCAGATCAAAATAACCTCTCCTGCCTTTTTGCTTTTATTTCACTTGTCTGTGTCTATCACAGTAGCTAATCCCTATAGTTAATTTTATGTGTTAATTTAGAGGGTATTTGTGGATGAGATTAATATTAAAACTAGTTCTGGTGAACTTTGAATAAACATGTTTCCCTTCATCATGTGGATAAGCATTATGTAATCAATTAAATGCCCAAACGGAACAAAAAGACTAGCCTTTCCAAGCAAGAGGAAATTCTCTCCAACAAACTGTCTTGGAATCCATCTGCACCATAGGCTTTCCTGGGGCTTAAGGCAGCTGGCCCACAACACAAATTTTGGTTTTCTCAGCCTTTGTAATCACATTAGCCAATTCCTCATAATTTTTCTCTCTCTCTCCTCTCTCTCTCTCTATATATATAATAAACAGACACACATATGTGTATGTATACAAATATATATATCCTATTTTTTCTATTTTTCTGAAGAGCACAGAGCAGAACACTACTGTATAAACACTTTCAAAATATGTGTATTTTTCCTAAATCAATCCATTTGTTAGGTACTCAGACACCGCCATAACATCTATAATAGATTCAGAAAATTTATTATTTTATTTTCAAAACATTGATTGTATTTTAACACCTATTTCAGGTCAGTTATTCTGTGCTTTATTCAGCTTCACATCTTCTATAAAGTCTAACACAATGATTAGCACAAAGCAAGAAATAAAGTTTATTAACAGTTATAAAAAGCATACATGACTGATAAATTAATAAAGATTTACTTTTAATAGTACCTAGGATTATGAAAAAATTAAATAATTGACATAAGTAAAAATTATTGTTCACCAAAATACATCCCAGTATTTGTATTGTTTTCCTACAAGCGTGGCCATGATCTATGCTAAAGAATATCCTATTTTACAATTGTATTCCTTTCAAATATATTTTATCTTCTCAGGTATGTGTAAATGTTTACTTCTTGCAAAATAATTACGGTGATAAGGGCAAGGCTATATTGATTTACTGTCTAGTATGCTTCATAAGTGGTCTACGTGTTTAACCGATAAGTTAGCACCTCACACAATATATTCCCTTTTAAATCCCAAAATAAATGTTTGGTATTACAAACTTTCAGTACATTGTCTTTGAAATGTCAGCAGGAGTAACATTTTTTGAAGTCATGGAATTTATGTTTGCATTTTCAAAGATGGCAGTGCAGTACTTCCATACAATGATTTTACTTTGGTTTTCTGTTCCTGCGTGTTTGCTAAGGATGATGACTTCCAGCTCCATCCGTGTTCCTGTAAAGGATATGAACTCATTCCTTTTTATGGCTGCAAAGAAAATACCACATGTTCTCATTTATGAGTTGGAGCTAACTGATGAGAACACATGGACACACAGAGGGAAACAGCAGACACTGAGGCCTACCTGAAGGTGGAGGGTGGGAGAAGGGAGAGGATCAGGAAAAATAACTAATGGGTACTAGGCTTAATACCTGAGTGATAAACTAATCTATACAACATACCTCCATAACACGAGTTTACCTATATAAGAAACCTGAACATGTACTCCTGAATTTAAAATAAATGTTTAAAAAATAGTTGTGCTTTGATATTTGCAGTTCATATATATATAATATATACATATACATATATATATATATTTTTTTTTTAAGTGTGGCCAATCGTACACCTTTAACATTGGGTATGGCAGCTGGAATATTGCAGATAACACAAAAACTGATACCACATTAAGGCCACAAATTAAGAAGATGAACTTTCTCAAATGAGGGAGTGATTTTTCTTACCATGGTTTTCACTAATGTCAAATTGAATGGTAAGATGTGGGGCCATTGCAATGTTTTTCTTATGGTGAAATCACATGCATTTTACCTTAACCTGTTAAGCAAATGTAAACTGGACTTGTGTCTTAGCTATATCACTGAGTCTAAAAACATTGACTCAATTTGTTTGTTGTGCCAAATTTTCAGCCAACTTAAATGGCATTGAACTGATTTATGATACTATTATTATTATTTTTTGAGATGGAGTCTCGCTCTGTCACCCAGGTTGGAGTGCAGTGGCATGATCTTGGCTCATTGCAACCTCTGCCTCCTGGTTTCAAGCGATTCTCCTGCCTCAGCCTCCCGAGTAGCTGGGATTACAGGCGTGAGCCACCAATCCCAGCTAAATTTTTTGTATTTTTAATACAGATGGGGTTTAACCATGTTGGCCAGGCTGATCTCGAACTCCTGACCTCAAGTGATCCACCCACTTCGGCCTCCCCAAGTGCTGGGATTACAGGCGTGAGCCACCACGCCCAGCCCATGATACCATTTTCAATGCCATACCCCTCATTCATTGAAGTGGCAGAAAATTATACCATAACTGGGTTCACTTAAGCCCTCCAAATTTAATCTCTATAATATTGAAGTAGAAAATGTAATTGTTACATTTACATCTAAAATTTTGTTTATAATTTAATAAGTTGAATGATTAAATTTGTAAATATACAAGATCGGATTAGTTCATTCGAAGCTTACAGTGGAAGTCTTCCTTCATAGAAACAACTCAATTCCATGTTAACCATGTGGTAGCTAATAAATGTGGCAGAAATTTATTTAAAAATAATTTATACTTTCTATTATTTAGACCAAATTATAGGATTCTGAAAGTTCACAATCTTTTCAGTTGATCATGACACATATGTTGTACTTTTAAACCAATAATCAATGTTATATAACCTTGAAATGATTCCAAACACCTATGTAGTTTGCTATATAAGTGATACATTTTGCCGTGATAAGAACTTGGAGTTTATTCCCCATTCTCCTTAAGAAGGTGACACCTTATAAAAATCCATATGTGAATTATTGACCTCACCTCCTGCACTTCAAAATACATATAAACCCAAATTTGACAGACACTTTGAGAGTTTAGGCTGCAGCTGGCTATAAATCAGGAACATTTTCTGTGATAGGGCTGCATTGTCAGCTGCTTCTCTGAGGACTAACAGGTCAGGTAGTGGCAAAGCAACATCTTTAGGCTTTGAGTTAACCTTTGAAGTCTTGTTGGTCAACAGAAACCTCATCTTCTTGTGTCAAAGGACCTGAAGTGCCTTCACAGATCTCCTACTATGTTGGATATCATCTCTCCTGAGAACCACTCCTATAAAGTCATACCTCAAAGTTGAATTAGACTTTACTTTCCACAGAGGCCTGCTTTTATTCAGATTTAGCAAGTAGACTAATAATTTTGAAACACACTTACTATGTGGTTAATGTACCTCGCCTATTGAGTGCATTCTCTGTGAGATTTGTTCATGTAATTCTCCCCCTCTTTAAACACTGCAAACCTAAGGGAAAAAAATTATATTTGTATGGCAATAAACTGTGTCATTCCTGAAACTATGCTGTTATCATCTCCTTAGTTCTATGATACAAAACAACCACCAATTCAAAATAATACAATGTGAGTTCTAATATCAATAATAACTCTTGAAAAATGAAGTACAGACTTAACATTTCATTTGAGAAACAGTGAATCAAAATATCACCAGGCAATAGTTACAAGGGATTCATTACCATATTTACACTGGAAGAATCTCCTCCAGGTTTTTTCTTAATGAAAGAAGTCATGTGGAATAGAATTTTTTGTTTGCTTTTTTTTCTTACCAGATTTTATAAAGGTATTTCCTGAATTTCCCTGGGGAATCTACAGCTGGGAAATAAACTTTCATTTTTCAGTTACTTAGAAATTTTTAGGGAACAAGTTGTAACACAACTGGCATTTTAATTAAATGTTCTTATTAATGGACTGGCTGACACTTTCAAACATAGGTCTTGGTTTGTAAGAGACACAATGTGAAAGCAGAAATGTAAGAGATGCAATGTGAGAAGACAAACTATGTGACTCTGCAGTTGGCTAACACTTGAAAAGACAGTTTGCTTAAGTGTATAATATTCCAAGGTCACTGGTATTTCAGCAGATACACTGAAGAAGAATTAATATTTTATTTTTATTGTTGGATATTAAATGCAAAAATCCATCCTGTTTCTGACCATAAGAGTTACAGTGATTAGATTTGCTCTTCCTACACAAAGAATAGTAAATCTGGATAAACGTATAAAATGACTTTCCATAGAATGGAAATTAAGCAGTACAAGTATGAGATAAAGGGAAAAAATAACTGGGTCCTTAAAAGCCTCTTGGCTCTCTGCTTGGAGGTGATTTCAACACTAAAAAAGGACGATTCACTTAGCTGAAAAAAGGTGATATCAGGTGGAGTGTAGAGTATTAATGAGTTGAGAAGAGAAATATTAGAATTTAGAGAGTGAGGTGGCAGAAAGTAAAAGGAAAATGTTTATCAGAGGAGAGAGAGAGAAAAAAGGGTCTCCAGCCCTCCATTAAGACCTTAATTTGTGTCAAAGATTAAGTGTTATGATTTACCAAAAGTTGAATATATAAAGAAACAATTTTTGGTAACACTTTTGTTCAAAGGCAGAATAAAATATGTGAGTTAAAATTTGATGAGACAAACTCATGATCTACATTATATACAGTTTTCTCCCACTGGATAACTAATTTTTTTCATGAATTTTTTATATTGGGGCTCAAAGAAAGTTTAGATTAATAAATGTACCACCAAATCTAAAATTTAAAAATAAAATAAAAAATAAATGTGTAGACTTATTTTCTAGAATTGTAAGTAATAAGATGAACTCACATTTATTTTGTGCCTTATATAAAATTGCTAATTTTTATGTTTTCACAACACTCCTATGAGAAAAGCATATCATTTCTTATAGATGAGATAACTATGGCTCCTAGTGATCGAGACTGAAAGTAGTATAGTTAGAATGTGAATATGTATTTATGTTACTTTAAAGATAACACATATAGGAGAAGAATCATACACTAGGGGCCTATTAACACATATATGTATCCACATATATAATGACACCCCAACATGGAATATATATCTATAAATGAAGGTAAATAAGAAGTATGTAAAAACATGCTGCACATCATGTGTCATTAGAAATTGGAATGAGAACCACTACATAACTAGTAGAACAACTAAATGCATAAAATAAAATAAAATAAAATAAAATAAAATAAAATAAAATAAAATAAAGTGTAAAAACATGCATGCACAAAGAAATCCTATTGCAAATGGTTATAGCTGCTTTATCCATAATTACCAAAACCTGGAAGCAAATAATATGTCCTTGAGTGGATGAATGGACAAACTGTGGTACATCCATTCAATAGAATATTATTCAGGAATAAAAATAAATTAGCTACCAAAAACCAAAAAGACATAGATGAGTTTTAAATGCATGTTGCTACATGAAAGAGACCAGTCTATAGAGCTAGATACTGTATAATTCCAATTATATGACATACTGAAAAGGCAAAACTACAGAAATGATAAACACATTAGTGGTTGCCATGAGTTGAAAGGGTGAGAGAATGTTTGAATAGGTGAACTACAGAAGACTTTTTAGGGAAGTGACATTATCATGTATGTTATTGTAATGATGGATTTGAAACATTGAGCATTTATCCAGTCTCATAAAATTTTATGCACTAAGAGTAAGTCTGGGCTAGGTGTGGTGGCTCACGCCTATCATTCCAGCACTTTGGGAGGCTGAGGAAGGCGGATCACTTGAGGTCAGAAGTTTGAGACCAGCCTGACCAACATGGAGAAACCCTGTCTCTACTAAAAATACAAAATTAGCTGGGTGTGGTGGCACATGCCTGAAATCCCAGCTACTCGGGAGGGAGAGGCAGGAGAATTGCTGAACCCAGGAGGTGGAGGTTGCGATGAGCCGAGATTGCACCATTGCACTCCAGCCTGGGCAACAAGAGTGAAACTGTCTCAAAAAAAAAAAAAAAGAATAGTAAGTCTGAATGTACACAAACATTTTTTTAAATAATTGAGAAGATTAAGACTCCAGGGATGGAATGCAGAATCATCTGACAAAATAAAATGTACTAAAACTATGTGAAATATATGAAATGACCTCAATGAAGGAGATGGAAGAGTCTGTAGGACTAAAGGCAAAAGAAACTGTGTAGAAGCACTGTTTAAGTTTAGAAAACCATTTCCCATAAGGATATGGGTGAGCAATTCTGAAATTACTATACATATATATTGAAATTGAGTAATTAATAAGTGTATGACAGAATGTAGAAGCCGGTTTTCTGTGTTTGTTTTTGTTTATGCTTTTACTGTTGGAGTGAGAGGTTAAATATTAACAAAGAGAGGAGGAAGCTGGGATCATATATATGGTAATTAAATAATGTTAGAGACATTGGTATGTATTTATATATATATGATAATAGAGAAATGAATACATATATAAATATTTATAGGTAAGTCTATAATACAAAGGTTAGTATTCACAACTATATCTTTTTACTCTGTCAGGTGAGAGAGCCTAAAAGCAATTATATGCCATTAGCAAAGATTACACCCAGCACCTGAATCTTGTTTTCTACTATAATTATTCAATAAAAGAAACCACATCTCCTTAAAGAAATGACTGATTCTACAAATAGGGAAGAAAACACGTAAGGCAAGCCTGGTGCATCTTATAGCACCAGAAAGTAAGACAGTACCTTAAAAATCAGATCATTTTAAGGTTCATCAAAGGGCTATAAGAGCAAATAAAAAGAACTATCAATGGTTAAAGCTGGAAAAAATTGAGCAACATAATAAATGAGCTTGTATTGGATAATAATCCACAACAAAAACATTTTGTTCATACTGATATAAATTAATGAGTTATTGAATAAATAAATGAGTAGAGAAGAATAACTACATCTTTCACACAAAAGAATTCTAAATAATTTATGTAGAGAATCTGCCCTTAAGGAGGTGGAATGTAACTCCCCATTCCTTAAATCTGAGCTGCACACACATATAATATGGATAGGGTGGGAATGAAAGTGACTTTACACTGGAGAAAACTAGAAAACATTATCTAAGGCAGGTGACCAATGTTAACATCAATGGTGATGCGTCGTGTTGAGAGTATGTATCATTGATATGATGTCATGACGATGATGTTTTACACCTCAGGATTTCCATATATTACTCCAGTCTAATTATGAGATAAACATCAGAGAAATTCCAACTGGGGGACATTCTGAAAAATACCTGACCAGTGCTCTTCAAAACTGTAAAACAGTACTTGAGGAAAGGGGAGCAAGGTGGCAGAACAGAAGGCTCCACTAACCGTGTCACCTGCAAGAACACAAATGTAACAACAATCTACAAAAAACACCATTATAAGAACCAAAAATTAGATGAGCACCTGATTATAACTTTATATTGCTGAAAGAGGCACTGAAGAGGTAGAAAAAAATAGTCTTGAATGCTAACACCACTCCTCCTTCATCCCCTGGCAGTGTCCATGTGGTGTGGAGAACATTTCTGTGTGCTGGGAAGAGGAATAGTGTAGCAATTGTGAGACATTGAACTCATTGCTGCAGTGCTATAGCAGAAAGAAAACAAAAGCAAACTCAGCCGATGCCCACCCAAAGAGGGTGCATTTAAGCCAGCCCTAGCTAGAGGGGAATTGCCAATCTCAGTGGCCCTTACTTGAGTTTCTGCAAGCTTCATCACCATGGGCTAAATTGCTATGGGTCTCCAAGTAAACTTGAAAGGCTGCTTGAGGAGATGAGAGGCAAGAGCGGGGAGGGCTTTGTCTTGCTTCTTGAATACCAGCTCAGCCACAGCAGGATAGAGCACGAGTCAGTCATGAGATCCCCTTTCCAGGCCCCAGCTCCTGGATGATGTTGCTAGACACACTCTGTGTAAGAAGAGAACCGACTCCCTTGAAGGAAAGGAGCCAAATTCTGGCATAATTCATCAACTGCTAACTGAAGAGCCCTTGGGCCCTGAATAACTAGCAGCGATACCCTGGTACTATGTCAAGGGCTTGGGGTGACACTCTGAGACTTGCTGGCTTCAGTAGAGACTCAAAACATTCTCAGCTCTGGTGGCTACAAAGCAAGATTCCTTCTGCTTGAGAAAACTAGAGGGAAAAGTAAAGGGGACTTTGTCTTGCACGTTAGGTACCAGCTTAGCCACAGGGGTTTACAGCACTAAGTGTGCTCTTGAGGTCCCTGATTCCAAGATTTGGATCTTGGACAACATTTTTGGACCTGTGCTTGGCCGGAGGGGCGCCCACTCCCCTGAAGGTTGAGGGGCGGGTCTCAGGCAAGGCAGCAATCACCACAAGCTGACTGAAGAGCCCTTGGGCCTTAAGGAGTCATCGGCCATAGCCTGATAGCACCCTCTGTGGATGTGTGGAGGCAGTGGCCACAAGATGAGGCTCCTCTGCCTTTGGAAAGAGAAAGGAAGTGTGGGAAGGACTGGGCTTTCTGGTTCGAGTGCCAGCTCTGTTGCAGTACAATAAAATACCAGGTAGACTGCTAACGTTTTTGACTATAGTCCCTAGCTCCTGGTAGGCACCTCTGGACCCACTCCAGGTCTGGGAAAACTCACCACCATGAAGGGAAAGACAAAGGCCTGGCTGGCTTTACCACCTCCTAATTGTAGAGCCCCAGGCCCTTGAGTAAACACAGTAAGTAGTCAGGGAATGGTTACAGCAGGCCTTGGGTGAGACCCAGTGCCATACTAACTTCAGGTCTGACCTAGTGCTGTCCTAGGTGTGGTGACCACAGGGATGCTTGTGTCACAAAAACTACAGTTCCAAGTAGCTCAAAGGAGAGAAAGAGACGCTGGGAGAAAGTAAGGGGAGAGAGCAAGAGTCTCTGCCTTGTAATTCAGAGAATTCTTCCATATCTTGCCCAGGACTATCAAGATGGTACCTATATAAGTCTGCAAAAAACAGTGTTAATGAGCTTGTGGTGCCCCCTAAAGCAGATACAGCTTAGATCACAACAACCAAGTCTTTTCGAAAATCTGGAAAGCCTTTCCAAGAAGGATGAGGATAAATAAGCCCAGACTAAGAAAACTACAATAAAAACCTAACTCTTTGATGCCCAGACAGAGATGAACATCTATTAGTATCAAGAACATACAGGAAAACATGACCTCACCAAATTAACAGAATAAAGCACCAGGGACTAATCCTAGAAAAAAAGAGGTATGTGACCTTTCAGACAGAAAATGTAAAATAGCTGTTTTGAGGAAACTCAAAGAAATTAAAGATAACAGAGAGGGATTTTAAAATTACACCCAGCTTTCTTCTGCTCTATTAAATATTAGTTCATGCAAGCTGTGTTTTAAGCACTGTCGCTCAGGCTTAATTTTCTAACCTCTTCTCTCACCGCCCTCAGATTACTGTTGAAAATAAAGAGTGGTATTTATTGGTTTTATATTATGTGTAGAGGTGAATTTATATATTCTTTTTGAAGATAGGTAGTATATGAATAAAATTTTTCCTACACGAATTAAAATTTCTCATATTGGCTTTTCAGTCATAGTGATGTAGCATTCCAAATATTAATAAGTTGTTTTTAAATTTTTAGTTAGATAAGTGTAGCTCACCTGCATTAAAAAATCTATTTTATCAAAATATACTTAGTTGATGACAAATTTCATTTAAAAATGTATTGATATCTGGCTAGGCACAGTGGCTCACGCCTGTAATCCCAGCATTTTGGGAGGCCGAAGTGGGCGGATCACTTGAGGTCAGGAGTTTGAGATCAGCCTTGACAACACGGTGAAACCCTGTCTCTACTAAAAATGCAAAAATTAGCCAGATGTGGTAGCACAAGCCTGTAGTCCCAGCTACTAGGGAGGCTGAGGCAAGAGAAGCGCTTGAACCTGGGAGACAGAGGTTGCAGTGAGTCGAGATCATTCCATGGCACTCTAACCTGGGCCACACAGTAAGACCTGTCCAAAAAAAAAAAGAAAAAGTATTGATATCATGTTGTGAGGACAATGATTTTGATATATTTTTTAAATTGTTCTCATATGGTATAGATAGATGTGTTTCTATCATACTTTTCATCTAAATATATTTAATAATCAAATAGGTCAGAAGAAAATAAATAAATACAAAGAGATAGGGTAAGGAGAGAAGGATTTGTGGTAAGCAGAGATAATTTATCAAAAGGTAGCATGTATTTGAAAACAAACAAAAATATATGTCAAATGTAATTTTAAAACATTAATGTTGGTACAGTCTCTTCAGTTGGAAATAAAACTCAGAATGTCTATAATACCAAAAGAGGTTTAACAAAAAGAGAACAAAAAACCCTTGCAGATTTGATTTCACATTAAAAGTGAATTCCCAAGTCAATTAATTATGGTTTCCATAGTTTCAAGCAGACATATATGGATTTTAAATATACTGTATTAGACTCCTCAACAATGATTTTCTCTCTAGAAAGCACAAATAAATAGAGTCAATAATGTGAGTTTCCTTTTGTATTTAATCATTTAAGTTTCAATAGAAGGTACTTTGTAATTAGATATTTCCTTCTTTTTCCTCCTCTGTTAAAAAAAGCTAAGAAGTAGTATTTTCTTTTTTGCTTACGGAAGTTTTTCTTGTACCAGAAAAGACTTTTAACATGTGAAATAGAATTTTACAGACTAAACTAACCAGCCTACAAATCTTCTTATACTCTAAAATTTATGCAGATATTTTAAGTTACAGAATACATTTACAGATGTTCCTGGACTTAACGATGGTGTTACATCTTTATAAACTCATCATAGCTTGAACATACCATAAGTCAAAAATGCATCTAATACACCTAACCTATTGAACAATTATAGTTTAGCCTACATTATAGTTTAGCCTAAATGTGCTTGGGACACTTATATTAGCCTATAATTGGGCAAAATTATCTAACACAAAGGCTATTTTATAATAAAGTATTAAATACATAATGTATTGACTACTGTACTGAATGTGGAAAACAGAATGGCTGTGTGGGTACTCCAAGGATAATTTCTACTGAATGCACATTTCTTTTGCATCATACATATCTGTATGACCTTACTAAGCATGGTAAACTTGACTAAAGCCTGATTCTTGTTCATTAAAAATGCTTATTAATGTCATTTTCTTCCAGCAGGAAAACCAGTGAGTACCATCCAAATAATAATTTTAAAGACATTCTTCAACAATGTGATTATTCTAACTCCAAAACAGGTAAAATAAAAGGTAAATAAATAAATGGACGTGAATTTCATACTTGATATTTTGCCAAATTAAATATTATCACTTTTGTATCATTATACATAAATATACCTCTTCTTATATATTTAATGGTTTATATTCCCCTCCCCTTCACATTGTGGCATTATGTTACTAGAATGTACTTCTTGGAATATAACTGTGTTATCTAAACTAGAAATATATTAAGACTTTTTTAAAAATATTCACTCAGTTTACCAGTATTTACTAGAATTCAAAAAAATAGTCGCAAACTTTCAAGTAATATTTATATAAGAAGTTCAGATAAATAATTGGAATATTTTTAATTATAGACTACAACAAAGGACGTTGATGATTCAGGGTAACAGTGGAGAGTCAGGAAGAAGGGAGAAGAGAGTGAATTTGCATTATGTAGTGGTGAATAGAAACTTTATTTTCTTTTAAATTTGACTGAGAGCTGTTCTGCCACAAAATTTTTATTTAGGTGCATTGTAGATGTATGTATATGCACATTTCTGTTAGTGAGTGTATATGTATGTCTTTCCTATACATCTTGTGTTTAAAGTAATAAAAACATATATTCATAGGTAATTACACTACTTTTAAGCTTAATCTTTTTGAGCCACAGTTTTCTTATCTAAGTAAAAAATAATATGCCTCTCTCATAAGATTTTTGTGAAAATTAAAAACTGGCAACTTGATATAAAGCATAAAATAAATGTGAATTCATCCTGTTGATTACTATCAAAAAAAAATAGGAAATCCAACTATATATTCATTGAGTCAAAAAATAAATACTTCATAGAAAGGAAATAGCTCTACAACAGCCAAAACCAATATGATGGATCTATCACAAATTATAATCGCTCATAGAATTATAACTCATATTTTTTCTGCCTCTGAAGAAAACTATAAACACTTTCAAATATATGTTTTATAAAGTTTTAACTTTAGATAAACCACAACTTAATCTGAGTCAACATCACACACAAAAGAATTACCAATGTTGTAACATTTCAATATGATCAGTTTGTCTTCAGCTTTATTAAAAATGAGCAAAAGCAAAAACAACTAGATAAAAACAAGCAAACATATCTAATTTAATAGATATGGGAGCTACCTCTTAAAGTAACTTGGGCTTGAGAAGCCAAATCCCTGGGAAAGTCGAACCAGAAAAACAATCAACATTGATATTATGGAATTGGATATGTAACTCTGGGAATTTTCAACTATATTAATGTCAGTTATGAAATGTATTGTTTTCTTCCTTCTACTTTAGAATTAATTCATTCTTCTAATTCTGTGCTTTCAAAATTAAAGTTTAGGTCATTGATTTTAAATATTTTTTCACTTGCTAATGTAAGCATCAATAAATGCTTATATTATACTCCTTTCCCTCTCACTGCTGCTTTAACTTCCTCCCACTAATTTATATATATTTTTTCTTTCATTATATTAGATAAAAAATAATTTATAATTTTCTTGTGATTTACTCTTTGATATTGTCATTTAAAAATATTTTATTCAAACTTTATCCAATTTTGGATATAATTTTGTTTTTTTTTTGGTTTTAGTCAGAAAGCATATATTACATAATTTCTATTATTTGAAATGCATTAAGTATTATTTTTCTGGTCCAATATTGGCCTCCGTTAGCGAATGTTCCATGAGTATTTGGAAAAAATACTAGATATAATGTTTTCCAGATGACTATTTGGTCATAATATATGATAGTATTAAAATATACAACTATAACTTTGATTTGATTGATGAATAAACATTACATATTTTGTTTTTGGTGTCTTGAAGGTCTGCTTTCATATTCATGCACACTAAAATTAATTATTTCCTCTTTAACATTGACCCTTTGATTGACCCTTTGATTATTATGAAATGCCACTCTTTATCTCTTGTAATATACTCTGACGTGGAGCCTGTTTGATTTGTTGTTAAATACCTAACGAGAGTTTGCTTGCATCCTATCTCTCTCTTTCTAAACACTTTATTGATGTATAATTACCATAATATGAGAATATAAAATGCACCTATTAAAAGTGTACAGTTCAATGGCTTCTAGTATATTCACAAGGTTGGGCAACCATCATCATAATTTAAATTTTGAACATATATATTTCAAGATAAAACTACTTTATCAGATATAATCATTGCAAATATTGTCTCCCATTCTTTGGATTGTCTCTTTACTTTTTAAAATTATATCCTTTGACACAGAAAAGTATTTAATTGGATGAAATACAATCTATCATTTTGTTGATTGTGCTTTTAATATCATATCTAAGAAACCATCAACTAATCCAAGCTTATTAAGATGTATGTGTATTTTCTTCTAAGTGTTTTATACTTTTAGATCTTATGTACAGATTTTTAATCTGTTAACCTTCTTAAACATGATATGAGGTAACAATCCCATTTTATTCATTTGCATGTGGGTGTCCAGTTGTCCCAGCACCATTTGCTGAATGACTATTATTTCTCATTAAATGGCCTTGGCACCCTTGTCAAAAATCAGTTGAACATGGATGCATATTTCTGTTTCTGGACTCTCAATTCTATTCCATTTTTTTCCATGTCTAATGCTTTTGCCAGTAACACTGCATTGATTATTGTCACTTTCTAGTTAAGTATTGAAACTGGGAAATGTGTGTCTTACTACTTTGTTCTTCCTTTTAAATATTGCTTCGTTAATCTGAGTCCCTTGCAATTCTATATACATTTAAAATTTAGAACCAGCTCACTAATTTCTATAAATAAAATAACAAGCCTTGTGTTGCATCTGTAAGTCAATTTGGGAAGCATTTTCACCTTACGATATAAACTTTTCAGTTCTATAATCATTAAGTATTTTTCCCACGTATTATTGTCTTTAATTTCTTTAAACAATTGTTTACGGTTTTCAGAGTACAAGTTTTTAAGTTTATTTCTAGGTATTTTATTATTTTGGTACTATTGTAAATAAAATCGTTCTCAATTTTATTTTCAGATTCTTTGTTTCAAGTTTAAAAAAGTAAAATTAATGTTTGTTTATTGATCTTATATACTGCAGTTGTGCTGAACTCATTTACGTGTTCTAATATTTGTCATTAATTCCTCAAGATATTCTACACTCAAGACCATTTCATCTGTGAATTGAGATAGTTTTACCTCTTCCTTTCAAATCTGAATGTTTACTATTTCTTTTGCATATCTAATTCCCCTGGATAGTACTGCCAGTGAAATTTTAAATAGATGTAATGAGAGTAGATACTTTTGTCTTATTTCTGATCTTAAGGAGAAAGAATCCAGTCTTTCATGGTTAAGTGTAATATTAGCTGCGGGGTTTTTTTGTGCATACTCTTTATCAGGTTGAGGAAGTTTTCTTCTATTCCTAGTTAATTGAGTGGTTTTATCATGAAATTACATTTGATTTGGTCAAATGCTTTTTCAGTGTCTATTGAGATGGTCCTCTGATTTTTATCTCTTATTCTATTGATGTGATGTGTTAATTTCGTTAATTGTTAGATATTAAGCCAATATTACCTTCAAGGTATAAATCTCATTTGGCAATGGTGTATATTTCTTCTTATAAGTTGCAGGTTTCAGTTTGCCATTAGAGTTTATCTTTGAATAACATGGGCTTGAAATGTGTGGATTTTTTTTCAACAAATACATTAGCAAAATATCTGGGGATTTGTGATAATTTGAAAAAACCCACGGTCAACATAGTCAAGGAATTTTGATACAAAGAAGTATGGAATGTCATGAATGCATAAAATATATGTATATACTAGTCTATCTTATTATTCACTACTGTAGAATATATACATATCTATTACAAAATTTAAAATTTATCAAAACGTACAGACATATTTCCAGACCATACGTGGCACCACTAGCAGTCAAGAGAAATGTAAACAAATGTAAAGGTGAAGTATTAAATAATAATTGCATAAATATAATCATAGTATATACATGAAGACAATGAGGACGAAGACCTCTATTATGATCCACTTCCACTTAATGAATACTAAATATATTTTCTTTTCTTTATGATTTTCTTAAAAACATTTTTTCTCTAGTTCACTTTATTGTAAGAGTACAGTATTTAATAAATATAATATACAAATTTGTGTTAGTCAATTGTTTATGTTATCTGTAAGGCTTCTAGGCAACAGTATGCTATTACTTGTTGTTTTTGGGGAGGCCATCATTATCCTGGTAACCAAAACAGACAAAGATTTATAAAGAAAGACGATTTAGGTCCAGATTTTCTTTATGAATGTAGATCTGTTGAGGAAAAGTCCTCAACATAATACAGTTAACTTTTGAACAATGCAGGAATTTGGTATGTCAATCGCCTGTGCAGTTGAAAATCCACATGGCCTCATATAAGTTGGAGTTCTTACCTTCACTACTTTCTGGAAGAGTTTGTGAAGATTGGTATTATATACTTTAAAAATGTTTGATAGAAGTTGGTGATAAAGCCATCTGGGCTTGAAATTTATTTGTGGGTATTTTTAAAATTATTACTAATTCAATCTTTCCACTTGTTTTAAGTCTATTTTTATTGCTTATTACTTTCTGCACTAGTTTCAGTAGTTGGTGTCTTTTTAAAAATTTGCTAATTTCATCTAAGTTATCTAATTTTCTGGAATACAATTGTTTGTAGTGTCTTTATAATCATTTTTGTATCAGTGAGGATGGCAGTAATATCACCTCTTTCAATTCAGACTGTAGTAACTTGAGTCTTCTCTCTTATTTATTTTGGTAAATCTAGCTAAAGATTTCTCAAATTTGTTGATTATTCCAGAGAATCACTTTTAGGTTTTATTAATTTTCTCTGTTTTATCTAGCCTCAATTTCATTAAAGTTATGCTAATCTTTATTATTTTTTCCTCCTGCTTGCCTTAGTTTTAGTTTGCTCTCCATCCAGTGTCTTTAGGTGGAAGGTTGGTTAATTTGTTTGAGACATTTCTTTTTCTTAATATAGTGACTGATAAAATTCCCAGTAAGCACTGCTTTCACTTAGTCTCATAAGTTTTATGATATTACATTTTGATTTTCATTCACCTCAAAGTATTGTCTGATTTCCTTTTTTTTCTTCTTTGACATAATCGTTACTTAAGAGTGAGTACTCTTATTTCCATATATATATGTTTTCCAATTTTTTTCTGTTATTAATTACTAATTTTATTCCATTCTGGTGGAAAAACATGCTTTATATTATTTCTGTTTAAATTATTGAAGCTTGGTTTTGGCCTAGCATATTATCTATGCTGGAGAATATTCCATGTATACATTGAGAAGAATGTATACTCTGTTCTTAAGTGAAGCATTCTATAGATACCTGTTGAGTTTACTAAGCTTATAGTCTTATATTTCATTGATGATATTCTGCCTTGTTGTTCCATCTACTGTTGAAGGCGAAGCATTAAAAACTCTGTTATTGTTGAATGATCAATCTCTCTCTTATTCTCTGGCAGTTTTTGTTTTATGCATTTTAGCGCTCTGTTTTTAGATGCATTTCCATTTATAATTATTTTTCTGATAGATTTATACATGTTGGTTATTATTAAATACCCCACTGTATTTCTAGTAAAATTTCTTAGTCTATTTTGTCTGATAGCAGAATAGACACTCCAGCTTCTTCTTGCTTTTTTGCAATACATATTTTCCATCATTTTACTTTTATTCTCTTGTAGTTTTTAATCTAAATTATGTCTCTTATAAGCAGCATATTGTGTAATCAGGTATTTTTATACAGTCTATCTCCGCCTTTTGATTGGATTAATCTATTTACATTTAATGGTACTATTAATAATTGGATTGCATCTGCCATTTAATTTTTGCTTTCTCTGTCATCTGTATTTTTGTTATTTTTGCATTAAGGGAATATTTGCTAATTCAGAAATGAATAGGCAATTTAATAGCAATAGATGGGAATGTCAACACTCCACATTCAATAAGAGATAGAGCAACTAGGTTCACGATCAGCCTACAGATATAGAAGACTTAAGTAACACTATCAAAAACTGTGGCTTACTTCCTTTCTATATGGTACTCCACATAAAATAATAGAATACACATTTAGTTTCAAGATTACACACATGTGACCATACATCACAATTAAAACAGACTTGGACTTTATATTCCACTGGGTAAATTTGATTTCTGTATGTGTTTAATACATTTGTGCTATATTTTTGAGTTATTTTTATTGATTTGTCAAGGGTTTATTATACAGAACTTATCAGAATCAACTTCAGATTTAGGGTACCTTAATTACACTGAAATATAAAAATATTACTTCTATATTGCTCTCTCTTCTTCCTTATTTGTGTGTTACTATTTTTCTACCTATTATACAAATATAGTCACAAACTTTAAAATTATTACTTCATGTAAGTCTTTTTAAAAATGAGACAAGAAATTATAGTAAATATATATTATAAAGTTTGTTATGGTACCTTATTAACCATTTATGGTCCTTTTCATTTACTCCTATGTACTTCAGTTACCATCTTTTGTCATTTCCCTACTGTAATACAGATTTTCTTTAATCCACCTTCTTTGTGTTATGTTAGTGTTAGATATATTACATTTCTATATGTTATAACCCAACTACTTTTTTTCTGGTGGAATTCCCTAAAGGTATCAGTTAGTTTTTGATAGTGTTGATATTTGTTTGTCAATAACGTTGTTCAAGACTTCTATAATGCTACTAATTTTCTACCTAGTTGCCTTATCTCTTATTTGGTGCGGAGTATTACAGTTCTTAGCTACTATTATTGAATTGCCTATTTATGTATGTATGTATATATAAAAGAATAAACCCTTCTCCTGCAACTTAAACAGTGTAGGTATCAACTTGTTTGTTCACCATTAAGTTTATTATAAGTAGAGTACTATACAAAATTATACTAGCACTATGAGTGTAAGTATGTCTGGCCATTGATCAGATTCATAATATGTAAAATTTTCACAATAGGCAAAATAAATACTTGTCTGAAATAAAACATTTTTAAAAGCCAAAATAAATGGTCCTGGAAAAACTAATTTTTTAAAAATATATACTTTGTTTTCTATTTGGATAAATGTACATGCCAGTATATTCCACGACTTGTGTTATTGATGATAAAGAAATGATGGCTGACAATGAATTAGCAAAAGTTTTTTCAAGAAACATTCTTAGCAAAACTGAGGCATCTTCAAAAGATATTTAAATAGCTCAGACTTTTAATTACAAGGGATTTTTTGAATATATATTCCACTGTGCTATACTTTTCTGAGCTAATTTTTGAAAGCTATAGCATTAGTTATATGTCGCAAGCTATTAGCAAGGCATATTTTGCTAAAATCATATTTATGTTAAACTTTTATGTTTATATCGACATGCTCACTGAGTGCCATTATCATGGTATCGTGTGAATCACTTCCACACAAGCTCATCACATATAACAATTAAAACTTAGCCAATCTGCAGTGTCAGCATAATGTCAGTTTAGCATTTTTCAGTGGTTTGGGTTTTTTAAGCCTGTTCAGCACATGTGTCTAATTAAGTGTATTCTGAGTTCTACAGGAATGATATTTTCATAAAAATAAAAATTAATATTATAATTATAGTAAAATATTGCAGAATGCTACTTTTTCTACTGATATACTTTTACACTATTTGGTGAAAAAATATTCAATATCAAGTAAACTATAAAAAGTACATAGTCACTACAGCTCAAATACACTGTAAAACATAGAATGAGTCAATCAAAAACATAACAGGTTTAGGTTACCATTAACATTTTGAACATCTACTAAGTTAGGCACAAGAGAAAATGGATAGTCACTGTTCTGTAGAGAAAATTCTCCTTTCGTGTTTATACAATAATTAGTATTAACTCATCACATGAAGCACAAAATAAGCTTCAATTATCCCATTCCTAATTCTAGATTTATATGAAGCAAAACAGAAATTAATTTTTTGGGCCACAAAAGCCTCTGGGTGTCACGATATGCCTATGGTGATAGTGTGATGAGTTTATGCTAACTGTTCATTGCCAGAGTAACAAGGAAGAATTTGTCTCTATGATCTGTCTTAGAAGAAGTTCTATATTAGTAAATATGTTTTCCCATTATTTACGAGATGATAGATAAGGGGCATTTATAATGTCTCTAGATGTCTTTAACAACGATTAGTTAAAAGAAAGGTAAAGTGCATAAAATGTGCTTTTGTCTCAAGACCAGAATTTTAAGATGCTCATGCAAAACCTGAAGAAAGGCATTAAATCTAAGAAAGTCCTGAATTTGAGCTTCACATAGGTTATTACTATCACTTGAAATTTGACTTTGCTTGCTTTTATAAACATTACACACTGAAAAATGGAATATTTTAAATCTGTACTTTCTGGTATCTCTAGGAAGCATTTATAAATCAACTATAGGAAATAATTGTCCAATAAAGATCATAAGAAATTATTATAATATGGGGTCACAATTTTTCAAACTTGACACAATCAGTAACTATAGTCAAAGCTTATCTGCACAAAAAAATGAATGCAGGCCGGGCACGGTGGCTCACGCCTGTAATCCCAGAACTTTGGGAGGCAGAGGGGGGTAGATTACAAGGTCAGGAGTTTGAGACCAGCCTGGCCAACATGGTGAAACCCCATCTCTACTAAAAAAAAAAATACAAAAATTAGCCAGGCATGGTGGCTTGCACCTGTAATCCCAGCTACTCGGGAGGCTGAGGCAGGAGAATTGTTTGAACCCAGGAGGCGGAGGTTGCAATGAGCCGAGGTCATGCCACTGCACTCCAGCTTGGGCGACAGGGCAAGACTCCGTCTCAAAAAAAAAAAAAAAAAAAAAAAGAAGAAGAATACAAAAGGAGCATTTTATGAGATGTTAATAATTAGTTTTTGATAATACAGATACACATATTCAGGACAACAACCTCAAAATAATTTTGCTTTTTTTTTTATGTTGTTGTTCCTCTCTCATAGAAGAGCAACTACTTATCTATATGTATGCATTACAGCTTACATGCTTCCTGTACTCAACTCAGCACTGTGCTGAAAGCAGCTTATACTGGCTAGCAAGCATAGAATGTTAATTTATAGACTTTTTAAAAGCTAGTTGTTAAATACATCCATTATTATAAATCAAATTGTATAAAATTAAAATTTAATTAAATTAAAAACAAAGTTTAACAGATGAGCGACAATTCCAGAAGGGTAGCATAAAAAGCTCTATAGACCCTTTCCCCAGTGAAACAAACATAATTTGCGAAAATTATTTAAAATCAGCAATTTCAATCTGTAGAAACTGTCCAAAGAGCATACAGAAAATTTTATATATACACATAAATGTGTATATATTCACACATATACATATATATTTATGTATATAAATACATAAGGAAGCACTTAAGTATATATACACACTTATATACATTTATATATTTAGCATATATTTAAGAAAATATACTAAATATTGGAAAGAGTCATGATAGTCTGAGATATTTGGACCGTAACACACTCCTTCATATTGCCATGCCCTTTTCAGTGTGTTGAAATTCTACTGTGAGGTAGGGGAAGGGGTCCAACCAACAACACATGGCTACTTCTCTCCTTCCCTTCCAGTCTAAGGCCACAACATCTTTCTAAGAGGAGAATGATGCTAAAAATTTTCATTCCTCTTCAGGTCCATCTGGCTAAGAGATCAGAGGTTTTGTTCCTGTACCCAGCCCCCATTCATATGGCCGGAGCTTTATCTATCCCAGTTTCAACAAGATGAGCTTTCTTAGAGGGCATAGGTTCCATGCCAAGAGAGATAAGCTGAAAAGACCAGAATCTACCCAAACTGCCCATTGGCCTGCTTATACAGCCAGAGTACCACTTTGAGAGGAAGATTGGCAAAAAGATTTTGCCCAGGAGAAGAGGCAGTCCATAAGACAGAGTTGTATATTTCTTTCCCAAGGGCACTGACTTTACCTGGAACAGAGCTGGGAAGTTTAAATCTAAAATAGCAATGGAAAACAATGGAGATTTTTGGTAGTAATCAATTAAGAGGAGGCTAGTAGTTCTAAGAACGCAACAAGCTAAGTTGTACACCAGCTAGAAGTTTAACCAGGTGAAATGAGGAAAAGAGAGACTTTAAAAGAAGTTATTCTAAATATAAGATTATATTGTCTGCAAACAAGATTTTTTACTTCTTCCTGGCCAATTTGGATGCTCTTTATTTCTTTCTCTTGTCTAATTGCTCTGTCCAGGACTTACCGTAGTATGTTGAATAAAAGTGGTAAAAGTGGGCATCTTTGTGTTGTTCCAAATCATAGAGAAAAGGTGCTCAATTTTTCCCCATTCAATATGATGCTAGCTGTGGGTTTGTCATATGTATGTCCTTTATTAGGCTGAGGTAAGTTCTTCCCATACACAGTTTTTAGAGAGTTTTTATTATGAAGTGATGTTGAGTTTTCTCAAATGATTTTCTGGCATGTACTAAAAGGTTCATATAGATTTTTCTTTGATTCTATTAATGTGATTTATTACATTTATTTATTTGCATATGTTGAACCATTCATGCATCCCTGGGATAAATCCCACTTGATTTCGGTGAATTATCTTTTTAATGTGTTGTTGAATTTGATTTTCTAGTATTTTGCTGAGGATTATTGTATGTATGTTCATCAGGGATATTGGCCTGTAGTTTTCTCTCCTTGTTGTGTCTTCGTCTGGTTGTAGTATCCGAATAATGCTGGCCTCATAGAATGAGTATGAATGTATTCCTTCCTTTTCAATTTCTTGAAATAGTTTGAGTAGAATTGGCATTTTTTTTGGTAAGTGTTTGCTATAATGAAGCAGTGAAGTCATCAGGTCCTGGACTCTTCTCCAGTGCGGGACTCAAAGATTCCACCAAAACATGTTAGAACTGATAAACAAATTCAGTAACGTTGCAAGTTAGAAAATCAACAGGCTGGGCGCAGTGGCTCACACCTGTAATCCCAGGACTTTGGGAGGCTAAGGCGGGCGGATCACGAGGTCAAGAGATGGAGACCATCCTGGCCCACATGGGGAAACCCTGTCTCAACTAAAAATACAAAAATTAGCTGGGCATGGTGGCATGTGCCTGTAGTCCCAGCTACTCAGGAGGCTGAGGCAGGAGAATCGCTTGAACTCGGGAGGCAGAGGTTGCAGTGAGCTGAGATGATGCCACTGCACTCCAGCCTGGTGACAGAGCAAGACTCCGTCTCAAAAAAAAAAAAAAAAAAAAAAGAAAAGAAAAGAAAAAAGAAAATCAACAAACAAAAATCAGTAGTATTTCTGTGTGCCAATAGTGAAACATTTGAAAAATGAATGAAGAAAGCAATTCTATTTAAAATTGCTACAAAAATAAAATACCTAGGAACAAACATAACCAAAAAAGGGAAAGTCTTCTACACTGAAAATATAAAGTTGACAAAGACACAAAAAATAAAATGCTATTTTATGTTCATAGATTGAAAGAATATTGTTAAAATGTTCATACTACCCAAAATGATGTACGAATTCAACGTAATCTCTAATAAAGTATAAGTGATATTCTTCATAGAAATACAAAAACAATCCTAAAATTTTTATGGAACCGGCTGGGTGCGGTGGCTCATGTCTGTAATCCCAGTACTTTGGGAGGCCAAGGCGGGGAGATCACCTGAGGTCAGGAGTTTGAGACAAGCCTGGCCAACATGGTGAAACCCTGTATCTACTAAAATTAGAAAAATTAGCCGCGCTTGGTGGCAGGTACCTGTAATCCCAGCTACTCAGGAGGCTGAGGCAGGAGAATCGCTTGAACCCGGGAGGTAGAGGTTACAGTGAGAGGTTACAGTGGGGAAAGGACATGCTATTCAACAAATGTCCATAACCCATCTTGAGTTGATTTTTGTATAATCCATCTTGAGTTGATTTTTCTATAAGGTGAGAGATGAGGATCCAGTTTCCTTCTCTTGCATGTGGCTAGCCAATTAACCCAGCATCATTTGTTGAAAAGGGTGTCCTTTCTCCACTTTATGTTTTTGTTTGCATTGTTGAAGATCAGTTGGCTGTAAGTATTTGGGTTTACTTCTGGGTTCTCTATTCTGTTCCATTGGTCTATGTGCCTATTTTTATATCAGTACCATGCTGTTTTGGTGACTATGGCCTTACAGCATAGTTTGAAATCAGGTAATGTGATACTTCCAGATTTGTTCTTTCTGCTTAGTCTTGTTTTGGCTATGTGGGCTCTTTTTTGGTTCCATATGAATTCTCAAATTGTTTTTTTCTAATTGTGTTAAGAATGATGGTGACATTTTGATGAGAATTGCATTGAATTTGTAGATTGCTTTAGGCACTATGGTCATTTTCACAATATTGATTTTACCCATCCATGAGCGTGGGATGTGTTTTCATTTGTTTGTATTGCCTATGATTTCTTTCAGCACTGCTGTTCCTTTATCCCAGAGGTTTGGATACGTGGTGTCTCTATTTTCATTCATTTCAAAATTTTTTTTGATTTCAGTTTTAATTTTGTTTACCCAGATGTCATTCAGAAACAAATTGTTTAGTTTGCATTAACTTATGTAATTCTGAGAGTTCCTCTTGGTATTGATTTCTAATGTTATTTCACTGTGATCTGAGAAGATAATTGATGCTATTTTGATTTTATTAAATTTATTGACATTTACTTTATGTCCAGGTATATGGTTGATTCTGTATGATATTCTATGTGCAGGTGACAGAAACACATATTCTGCTGCGGTTAAGTGGAATGTTCTGTAAATATCCATTAGGTCCATTTTGTCTACAGTCCAGTTTATGTTCACAGTTTCTTTGTTGATTTTCTGCCTCAGTGATATGTCTAGTGATGTCAGTGTGGTGTTGAAGTCTCCCACCACTATTGTTTGTGATCAATCTTTTTTCATAGGTCTATAACTACTTGTTTTATGAATCTGGGTGCTCCAGTGTTTGATACATATATATTTAGATAGTTAAATCTTCTTGTTGTTTTAAACCCTTTACCATTATATATATAATATCCTTCTTTACCTTTTTTAATTGTTGTTGGTTTAAAGTCTGTTAGATATGAGAATGGCTACTCCTGCTTGCTTTCGTTTTTCATTTTCATGATGTGTCTTTTTCTACCGTTTTACTTTGAGTTTGAATGTGTCGTTAACCAGTAGGTAGGTCTCACATGGACAGTAGATGATTGGTTCTTATTTTTAAATACAATTTCCCACTCTGTATCTTTTAAACAGGGCATTTAGGCCATTTACACTCAAGGTTAATATTGATAAATGAGGTTTTGTTCCTGTTGTACTGTTGTTAGCTAGTTGTTTTGGAGTTTTAATTGTGTAATTTATAGGATCTGTGACCTTTGTCCTTACATGGTCTTTTCTGATGGTGAGTATCGTCCTCTCATTTCCATATTTAGAATTCCTTTAAGCATTTCCTATGGGACTGGTCTATTGGTGACAACTTCTTTTAGAATTTGTGTGGCTGGGAAATACTTTATTTCTCCTTCATTCATGAAGCTTAGTTTGGCAGGATATACAATTCTTAGCTGATATTTTTTTCTTTAAGGAGGCTAAAAATAGCTCCCCAGTATCTTTTGGCATGTAAGGTTTCTACTTAAAAGTATGTTGTTAGTCTAATCGATTTTCCTTTATAAGTGATTTAACCCTTTTCTCTAGCTGCCTTTAAGATTTTTAAATTTAGTGTTTACCTTGAATAATACGGTGACTATATTCCTTGATAATGTTTGTTTTGTATAGCCTCTTGAAGGCATTCTGTGGATTTCTTGTACTTAGATGTCTACCTCTCTAGCAAGATTATGGCAATTTTTATGAATTATTCTCTCACATATGTTGTCTAGCCTGCCTAATTTTTCTTCTTCTCTCTCAGAAATGCCAATATATTACAGGTTTGGTTGCTTTACATAATCCCATATTTCTTGAAGGTTTTGTTTATTCTTTTACATTTGTTTCTTTATTTTTATCTGACTTAGTTGAATTACCCATCTTCAAGTTCTGAAATTCTTATGCTTAGTATGGTGTATTGTCAAACCTTTCAACTGTAGTTCCAAATTACATAAGTGATTCTTTCATTTCCAAAAATTCTGTTTGATTTTTAAATATATTTATCTCTTCTATTTCTCAGATTGCTTTTGTTTCTATGTGCTGATTTTAAACCTTCTCTTGGATTTCTTTGAGCTTCCTCACAATCCATACTTTGTATTCTTCATCTATCATTTCTGAATTTCCAGTTTGGTTAGGATCCATTGCTAGAGATCTAGTGTTATCCTTTGGTGGTCTCACAATATTCAGTTTTTTCATGATGCCAGGATTTACACTGATTCCTCATCTGCAAAGGCTGGCATTCCTTGTTTTTGAAATTATTTTCTTTAGGATAGGATTGCTTTTTTCCTTATTTCTTTTTCATCCTTCCCCAGAGAGTGTGACTATAACGTATGTTGAGGAGGACCTTTTGTCTTTGCTTCTGTAGACCTGTTGTCTTTTATTGGCAGGTTTTATATGTGGCTGTGCAGTTCGAAGTGCAGGCCACTAGGTGGTGTTTATGGGTAAGAGCCAGCTGCAACACAAGCAGATATGTATGCACTTTGTTGTTTCCTGTGAGATGCTCTCTGTTGTTTCCTGTGATGAGCTGAGTAGTGGAGTGCCCAGTGCCCTTAGCTTCCTGTTTAATCGAGGGAGGGTGACAAAGCTGAGCAGAGCTGGATCCCCTGGCATGCTTACGAGTACTTCAGTGATGAGTGCAGGCACCAGCCCTGATGGGGGTGGCCAGGAGTCCTTGAGGTCTCTGCAGGAAGTGAGGGGATGGCACTGGCTCCATACCCTGGATAGGCTAGAGCACGATCTGTTTCCCAGTAACACCCTTGTCCCATGGCTCATGACTGTCAATTTAGAGGCATACTGTTGTCTATCTTTAAGCCACAGTAAA
This sequence comes from Homo sapiens, assembly GCF_000001405.40. NCBI lineage: Eukaryota > Metazoa > Chordata > Mammalia > Primates > Hominidae > Homo > Homo sapiens. Next base: position 89,872,224 of record NC_000023.11, read on the forward strand.
TGCCTGTATTGTTACTGTTAAGCCAAAATATGTGAGACAGGTCTCGGTCAATTTAGAAAGTTGATTTTGCCAAGGTTAAGGACACACCCATGACACTTCCTCAGGGAAGTCCTGATGACGTGTGCCCAAGGTGGTCGAGAGTACAGTTTACTTTTACACATTTTAGGGAGACATGAGACATCAATCAATATGTGCAAGATGTACATTGGTTCAGTCCAGTAAGGCGGGACAACTCGAAGTGAGGGCTTCCGGGTTAGAAGACAAAAGGTTGCATTCTTCTGAGTCCTTGTTCAGCCTTCCACTGAATACACAATTTAGCCTGGCTCAGTAAATCTGGATTTTTACATAAACAACAGGGCAGAGGAAGCAATCAGATATGAATTTGTCTCAGGTGAGCCTCAGAGGAATGACTTAGAGTTCTGTCTGTCCTATGTCTAGAAGGAATTTCCTATGGCCAAATAGAGAGGAAAGTATGTAGCTTCTTATCGTTATAGCTATCTTATTTAGGAATAAAATGTGAGGCAAGTTTGCCTGAAATAGTTTTCAGCTTGACTTTTCTCTTAGCTTAGTGGTTTGGGGGTCCTGAGATTTATTTTCCTTTCACATTACTCTCTGTGGGAGTGGCTTCAGTTTGGAACTCCTTCACTCAGTACAATACAGACAGCTATATGGCTTGCCTGTTCTCTGATTTGGTAACACTACTGATGTGTATAGAGAGGTCTCTATTTTTTGGCCCATGTAGATGGGCATCAGTTGTGGAGGTGTCAGCTGGTTGAGTTGGCCTGACCTAATGCCCTGTGGGGAGTGGTCTGGTGGCAGAACTGTTGGACTGGGCTAGATTGTCCCATAGTTCACAAGTTCTTACATTGCCTGCTGGTTAGTGTCTATGAGTCCTGAAGAGGCTGGACCAGGCAGGGTTGGGCTAGCCCAGAGTTCAGATGCTGGCTGTGATGAAGAGGGGTGGGCTGGTCACTGATCACCAGCAGAACTCTCAGGTTGTGGGGTTACACTTTCAGGAGAAATGCTCAGGTGAAGGCAGGGCAGCAGTGCTGTGGGCCTTTAACTGCAGAAACCAGGTCCCCTCAGCTGGAGCAACAGAGACTGGCAGCTGTGGGGTGTGTGGCACACTTGCACTTCCCTCCTACAAAAGTAGCTCTGGGTTTTATTAATACTCTTGGGGGCATGCACATGTGCTGGGCCTCCTTGCTCTCTCTCTGGCCCTGGAGTGGCAAGGACTTAGCCAGTAGCAGTGGCAGCTGCAAGGGGCTTGTCAGCGACCTCTGGGAGTGTGCTCTCAGAGGAACACAGAGCCACAGCTGCAGTGTTCAGATGAAGGTGGGGCAGGTGCACTGGAGGCCTAAAGATGACAAGGCCCATTTAGCAGGAAGCAGTGAAGGTGGGGAGCTGTGGGGCATAAAATCTGTTGCTGTTCTGTACCTCATCTGCAGTTATCTGTGCTGACAGTGCCAGAATGTGTCCAGCCTCCCCATTCCCTCCCTGGCGTAGGGGCAGCAGGGGTGGAGGCAGCTGTAAAGGGCTTGTCAGTGACCTCTGGGAGTGGTGCTCTCAAAAGAATGCTGAACTGTGGCCAGCGTTCAGATGGAGATGGTATGGGTGTGCTTGGGGCCAGAAGGTGGCAAGCCTCATTTGGTAGGGAGCAGCAGAGTTGGAAAGTCACGTGGTGCACAGTCTGGCTGCTCCACAATACCATGGATGTAGTTTCTATCTTTGGGGTACATGAAAGTACCTGGTCTTTCTCTTTGGTGGGGTGGTGAGTAGCTGACAGTGGCCTACTCAGGGATCAAAAGCCTGTGGGATTCCATGTGGGCTTGAACGGTGCCTCTACACTGTTTTCAGGTGGCTCTTGTGTTTTTCTGGTGGCCTGGGGGCATTGAGGGGACTCTCCCATGACTAGGATTGTAAAGGTCCATGGTGAAGGTGTGTATCACTGCTGGTGTCTCACTCACCCACCCCTTTCCCACCTTCGAGATCCTCTCTTGGCTCTGCACCTGTCCTGAATCAGTGGTAGTCTGGCTGCACACTTCTTGGCTTTCTGTGGGTCCCATCACTTACCTGGTGAATTTCAGTCTGCTCTATGAGATGATGTACTTGAGGTCTTGCTATTTACTTGTTATTTGGGCTTATCTTTGTAATAAAGGTAAATAAATGCTTCTAGTCAGCCATATTGAACCAGAACCTCTCAAGATTCATATCTGGAAACACTTCGCACGCCCCCACACACCTTTTTGGTCATACCCACAATCTCTTGTATGATTTCTTTGATTGGCTCTGTTTTAAATCTGTGAAGTCATGCACAACGTCTGAACACAATTTTCTCCAGCAGAAATGTATTGATCCCTTCGGTGGCTTTTTTTAGTAACGATAATGGCATCTTGAATGGTAGATTTTTATCATCTTCTATTAGAATTATTTTCCATACAGTTGACAATCCTTTCCTTAGAGAACCATGAGGCTTATAGATCCCTATGACCCCCTAATCTGGAGGCTGAATTGCAAACATTATTTTGGGGGCAATTAGACCACTTTTTATACATTCAGTGTTGAACACCTAGGGTTCTGGGTGGCAACGGACATTGTACAATATTATAAGAACTTTAAAAGGCAGTCTCTTTTTGGTAAGGTACTTTCTGACTTCAAGGACAAAGCCTCAAATGATTAATAGAGAAAAAAGATTCTTATTGTCCCAGCCTACTTGTTTTACAACCAAAAGACTGGCAACTGGCATTTATCTTTTCCCTTCAATGCTCCAGGGTTAGCAACATTATAGATAAGGGCAGTCCTTATCATAAATCTGACCACGTTTACACAAAACAGAAGAGTTATACTATCCTATCTCTAATCCTCGTACTCACCTCTCTTTTATCCTAATGAATGTCCTTTTGTGGCATTTTATTTCAGAATAGGGTACTTTTGTGTGCACTAAAAACTCATTCAGGTAGATATACTTTGTCCTCAATGATTTTCTTAATGGTAGCTGGGACCTGGTCTGCTTCTACTAGGTCAGCAGAAGATGCTTCTCCTCTTTTCTTGATATTTTTAAGCCAAAATTTCTAAAAACGTTTTAAGCCAGAATTTGTCTTTCTGAAGTTATCAAACCATTTCTTGCTGGTATTAAAATTTTCAGCTTTAGATCCTTCATCTTCCTTTTGCTTTAAGTTTTCATATAATAACTGGGCTTTTCCTTGCATTGTATTAGAATATTTAGATGTGCCTTTCTTTTAGCAGTCCTTCACTCACATAAAAGCTGCATATTCAACACAAGATAAGGTATTTCTCAAAAAGGCAAGCTTTTGGGACTTGCTGGTATAACTACACTGATGGCTTCAACTTTTTGTTACAATGATCCTTAAGTTTGAGTTATTAATCTTGAAATGTCAGGCAAGCACAGCTGCAGACCTCAACTTATAGTACATATCAGGCAATTCAACTTTTTCTTGTAATCTCATGACTTTTCTGTGCTACCTGTAGTACATATCAGTCAATTGAACTCCTTCTTGTAAAGTCAGACTTTTTTGTGCTCCTTGAAAGCACTTCCAGCATTACTAGTGGCACTTCATATGGGTCCCATGGTTTTATTCAAGGGTTACAGTATTGTACTAAACATTATAACAAATTAGTACAGTTTAAGGAGATACATATGTGTGCCACATTGTCCAGAATTGGATTTGTGTACTAAATTTTAGGTGTCAACCTGACAAGATGAAATAATACCTGGAAACCTGGTTAAGGATTATTTTTGGTGTGTATGTGAGGTTGTTTACAGAGAAGATTAGTGTGTGAATCTGAGTGGATTAGGTAGGGAAAATCTGCCCTTGTTATTGGTCAACATCATCCAATCACCTGGGGCCTGGAGAGAAAAAATTTAGAAGGAGAATTTGTCTCTCCCTGAGAACTAAAATAGTCTTCTTCTGGTGCCTCAGTCATCAGAATTTTAGGCTTGCCAGCCTTTGGATTGCAGAATTTACTGCAGCCTCCCTAGGTTCTGAGGCTTTTAAAATCCTGAACAATTCTACCAGCATCCCAGGGTCTCCACTTGCATAAAGCCTGTCATTGGACTTCCCAGCTATCATAATTACATGAGCCATTTCCCCTAAGTTCTCTGTCATATATCTACATACATATCCTATTGCTTATTACTCTCTGGAGAACCATGGGTTATACAGACTTGGCATAGGGGGAAGCTGAATATCATTCCTTCTTATTGTGTTTCTTACAAGACAATGAATGGGATCTCTGAAATTATTACCTTTTAAAAAGGCTATGATTAGTTAAATGTACAAGGTTACTTAACGCCGAATGATACAAGTTTAAATGTTAATTATAATTGGTGCTGCAAAAGCAAAAATCTGCTTAATTCTACCAGCTGAGCAATAACCAGACTTTTAAATGGACAGCATATACTTACAAAATTTGTAGACCAGAAGCACTCTCCAAATACAAGTGCAGTGAGTATTTCAAAGATCACAGAATAAGTAAAAATGCAGGTGAAAAACACAAGAACTCTCCCCTGCCAAATTATTCAATCATGTATTTCTGCTCCTTCATACATAGGTGCCATACTTGCCTTCAAAAAATGCCTGTCAGAGAATATAAAGAATTCCACAAGCTCAGCGACCTTCTGAACCAAAGATACTTGTTCATATTTTGGTTTCTTCAGTGTTACAAAACACATTAAATGGTAAACTTCTCTGATTTTCTTATATTTACCACTAACCCTAATATAGAAATATGCTTCGCTGTGTCTAATGAATGGCACTTCCAACTGTCCCCACTATTTTTTATTAACTATGTACAATTAATACCCTGGTTGAATCCAAAAATTTTAGAACTTTTCTACTCATTTTTGTATTAAAAACTCAAAATAGTAAAGCATTTTGTAAATGCTCATTTGAAGATCTGGTGAACTTTGCAGAAAAAAAAAATAAATTTTCAAACCACAATGACAGTTTTGAGTAAGTGTGGCCAGAGCTTCTACAAATGAATTTCAAAATGTTACCAATAAAGTTTTTTTTCCATTAACCTCAATGCATTTGGTAAAAATTCTAATGAATGGATTGGTCACATAGCATGACAATGACAAAAGCTTCAGTTTAAAAATGTATCATTTGCCTGCATTGGCATTCCTTCAAGCTTATAACATCCCAGGAACTTTTCAGGAATTAAAACAGCATTTGTCCGAAAGGTTGGTGTAGTTAACTACAAGTTCAAAAATAATTTTGTGTATGGTAGTATAAGAAGCCACTTATTTAATAGTGTTGCTGTTTGGCCAGTGTTGTTTATATCAAATTTGTGGCCTATAATTGAGTGCATACAGACTGGATATTTTGCATAACCAAAACAATATAGAAGCATTGCACATAAAATGGGAAAATTTAATCAGAAATGCTCATGTTGTTGTATATCAAATCATGAAAGAATTTCAAGAAAAGGCAATGCCATGTAGTGGCAAATGAATGTGATCATATTCTCTGAGGACAGCCATTTCCTAAAAGAAAAAAGGCAGCTATTCATTAAGACACAATATTTCAAAATATAGTTAATGATCATAAAAGTCAGTTATCTCTTAGGGAGTATCTCTGTGAAACTGCCCATAAACTATCCCTGTGATACACTTTTTCATATGTTAAAAATTTTCTTTTTAGTCATTTTTATCTTCTTTTTCTTTTTTCAGGTTTCTTCACTATTTTAAATTATCAGTACTTTTTTTTTGCAATTTGCTATACTATATTTCATCTTCACTTCATTTCCAATACTGGAGGTTGAAATTGTGTAGAGACTTTTGGAGGGTTCTAATTGATTTTATGTATTTTTTATAAATTTGATGCCACAAAAGTGCATTATCACAATGTTGACTTTGTATGTAAGTATTATGTATGTATATAAAATGTTGAAACTTCCCCAAAATAGGCATATAGACCAATGGAACAGAATAGAGAACCCAGAAATAAATGAAGAGATGTCCTATCCTGTATTTTGTTGAATCTACATATACAGATCATTTGGGGGAGAAATTTAACTTTATAATATTGTTTTCTAATTTGTGGTCATAATATATCACTTAATTCAAGCAGGAATTTTTCTTGGACCAGTTAGAGAATTGAGGTGACAGTGCCAAACTGCCACTGAAAACTTGAAGTGAATGATGAATTCAGAAGCCACAGAGGATATCAGCTTACCTAGAGCAGAAGATAGAACCATAAACTGACAGGATCACTAAAACAATAATTATAAAAAATTGATGGAGGCTGAGTGTGCACTACAGCAAAAGTGATAAATGTCTGGGGGTCATATTTCTAAGGGAAAGTCCACATTTTTGTAAGTTTTACCTCCAGGAACTCACCAGTTTCTCATGGTAAAGAGAAAAAAAAAAACCCTAAAATCTTCCTTTTTATGGCAAGGAGATGGAAAAGGTAACCATTTAAAATATGCACAACATATTCATCGTGACAAAGGGCATTTCTGCAAAAGAAATAATTTCACCAAGGTCTCATCCAAACTAGAAGAAAGACACTTAACCAAGTTTATCTCCTTCTAGGCTTTCTGTCTTATCTAGGTGGAAAACAAATAGCTATAGAACCACAGAGGACATGTGAAAGTCACAACCCAGGGACACGAGCACTCTAAATGACTTAGATTCTTCCCAGCTTCACTGAGGTATAATTGACAAATAAAAATTGTATATATTGAAGGTCTACCACATGACATTTTGAAATATGTATACGTTGTGAAATGCTTACCACAATAAAGCTAATTAACATATCCATTACTCACATAGCTACTTTTTCTTGTGTGTGTGGTAAAAACTTAAGATCTACTCTCTTAGCAAGTTTTAAGTATATAATACATTGTAATTAACTGTAGTCCCCATGCTGTACATAAGATCTTCAAAAGTTATAAATCTTATAACCTCAAGTTTGTACCCTTTTACCAATATCTCATTTCCCTCATTCCTGATCTCTGGTAACCACCCTTCTAAACTGTAAAATGATATAGTGTTATGTGAAAGTAAGCTACATTGTGAACTCTGGGGAAACCAATAACAAAATCAAGAATAAGAATAATTGATGTGATAAAAGAGAAGAGAAAATAAAGATACATAAAATGATGAATTAAAATCAAAAAGACAGAAAAAAGATAACAAAACTAAAAACAAAGAACAAGTGTAAGAAATAGAAAACAATTAACAAGTGTGTTAGATATTAATCTCATTATATCAATAATCACTCTAAATGTGAATGGTTAAAACTCACCAATGTAAAGACAGACTTTCAGAGTAGATAAAAAGAAAGATTAAACTGTGGTTCATAAGAAATCCTCTCTAAATATAAAGACGCAGATAGATTAAAAGTATAGAAATGTAGGAAAAGATGCCATGATAACACTAGTTTAAGAAAAGGATGGCTTAGCTACACTGATTTCAGACAGAGTAGATTTCAAAACAAGAAATAAAACATTAAAAGAGGTATTACATAACAATAAAGGGGCCGGGCACGGTGGCTCATGCCAGTAATCTCAGTTTTGGGGGAGGTTGAGGTGGGTGGATCACCAGAGGTCAGAAGTTCAAGACCAGCCTGGCCAACATGGTGAAACTCAGTCTCTACTAAAAATCCAAAAAAAAAAAAAATTAGCCAGGCGTGGTGGCTTGTGTCTGTAAACCCAGCTACTCGGGAGGCTGAGGTAGGAGAATTGCTTGAACCTGGGAGGTGGGGGTTGCAGTGAGTGGAGATCGCGCCACTGCACTTCAGCCTGGGCAACAAGAGTGAAAACTCCATCTCTTAATAAATAAATAAATAAATAAATAAAGGGGTTAATTTTCTACAAATACACAGTAGTCTTTAATATATATGTATTTAATGAGAGATCATCAGAATACCTAAGGCAAGCTTTGGAACAGTGACATCGGGAATGTGGCAGAGTAGGAGATACCTGCTTTCATCCTCCTCCTCCACCACCACCACCACCAACAACAACAAAACAACAAACCATAAACAAAAATAGCCTTGACAGGGCTTAAGGATCCTTTGCAGAATAAACAGTAACAAAGTAGAAAAAAAAAACGGAAAAAAACTGCACAGAAAGGATATATGATGAAAGTGGCATATCTGTAATGTCTGGAGATGACTAAGAGTGAAGAAGTGTGATGGCTATCCGTGTCAGCCACATGTTGGGTTCCACTGCAGACTCCAATGGCCTCATCAGCAGAGGATACTGGCACCTTTCATCACTGAGGTAACAAATAGCCATCACCACTGCAGACCCCCATAGAGGAAGATGTGGTTGCACCATGGCCACCCAGAGGTAAAAACTGTGCTACTCTAGGACTGAAGCTGCCATCCCTCCCAACCCTGTGCATGCTGCTCCCCCCCACCAAGCGCCACAGAGATGTAGCCACTTCACCAGTGTCCACATTCTAGACCGTGGCTCTGTAATCTCTCTGTGCTTACCAGTGAACATCCACATCTTAAACACTGGAACTACCATAGTTAAGGACTAGCACCATCATAGGCCCTAAACCCTACAGTTACTCTGTTTTTGCATAAACTACAGGTCATTGCCCTGTAGCCACCCCATGAAAATAATGTATCTGGTGTTTGAGCCACACTCACAGCTAACCCATTCTCCAGTCCCTAAGGCTACTATAGCCATTCATGTGCTAACACTCCAAACTCCAGCCCCATTGCTGTACTGCATGCACCTGCACCTAAAACTCAGAAACAATGTTACTATGAGATAGTCTGCACAGAAAACTGCATTGCTATTGTTGTCCTACACACATTTGTGCTCCATACTTCAATTCCCCAACTACTTCACAAACACCTATACCTCACACATTATTACCAATATGGCAATGAGGGTTTCTGTACACGAGGCACCATTGTCATGGCAGCCCAGGACCCTAGAGTCTTGATCTTTCCATGTGTGCCCATGCTTCAGATCCAAGCTCCATGGCTGCTTCTTAGGCAATGTTCATGAGACACCAGGGGAAACATGCCATTAAGCTGGATCCAGTGCTAATAAAGATCATCAGGGCCATGACTTCTCTGGTAGAAAAAAAAAAATGATGAGAAAGACCCAACAGCCTTCACCATTAAAAACTTTAATGGCCTTCATCACCACTGCAGATACTTTCAGCCTTGGCTGTTAAAAACCACTGCAATCTTTGCCAACGTCAAACTTAGCTGGGAGATTTGCATGGAAACTATGCTGCTGTGCCCAAACCAGAGCCAGAACCTCCACAACCACTCAAACAGTGTCCTTTCAACTACCTACCGAGGAAAGACTTTCCTCATGGAAAGTATTTCAATAAACTCTGGAAGAGGCGACTACTCCATCACATGTGCAGATATCAATGCAAGGCAGTGAGAAACATGAAAAACCAAGGAAACATATTACTACTAAAGAATACAATAATTTCCCCGTAACGGACCACAAAAAATGGAGATCTTTAAATTGCCTGAAAAATAATCCAAAATAATTGTTCTAAGAAACCTCAGCAAATTTCAAAAGAAAACAGAGACAATTTAACAACATCTGTAACATAATAAATGAACAAAATAAGTTTAACAAAAAGATTAAAGCTGTATAAGAAATTACCAAAGAGAAGTTCTGGAACTAAAAATCAAAATGAAGGAAATGAAAAATGTAATAGAGATTATCAATAGCAGATTTCATCAAACAGAAAGAACAATCTATTAACTCAAATGTGGGTTATTTGAAAATATACAATCAGTTTTTAAAAGTAAAAAGAATGAAGAAAGTATGGACTTTATGGGACAGCATCAAAATGGCTAACTTTCACATCACAAGAATTTGAGATGGAAAAGACAGAGAGAAATGGACAGAAATATTATTTAAATAAATAATGGCTGAAAGCTTCTCAAATCTAGAGAAAGATTTAAATACTCAGGTACAAAGAGCTCAAAAGTCTCCAATCTGTTCAATTCACACAAAACTACACAAAGTCATATTGTAAACAAATTGACAAAAGTATAAGGCAATGAGAGATTCTTGTAAGCAGGAAGAGAAAATTTTACAAACTCACATAAAAAGGAACATCATCCCAGCACTTTGGGAGGCCGAGGCAGGCGGATCACGAGGTCAGGAGATCGAGACCATCCCGGCTAAAACAGTGAAACCCCGTCTCTACTAAAAATACAAAAAATTAGCCGGGCGTAGTGGCGGGCGCCTGTAGTCCCAGCTACTTGGGAGGCTGAGGCAGGAGAATGGCGTGAACTCGGGAGGCGGAGCTTGCAGTGAGCCGAGATCCCGCCACTGCACTCCAGCCTGGGCGACAGAGCGAGACTCCGTCTCAAAAAAAAAAAAAAAAAGACTCAATCAGAAAAACCAGAAAATCTGAACAGACCAATAATGAGAAAGGAGAATTAATCAGTAATAAAAATACCTCCTATCAAATAAAATCCAGGACCTGATAGCCTCATTGCTGAATGCTACCAAACATTTTATGAAGAATACCAATCCTTCTCAAATTCTTCCAAAAAAAAATGAAAAGAAACACTTAAAATTGTCATTTAATGAGGCCAGCATTACTCTGATACCAAACCTGACAAAGACACTACAAGAAAAGAAAGAGGATGATGACCCTGATGAACACAGATGCAAAAGTCTTCAACAAAACACTAGCAAACTAAATTCCACAACACATTAAAAAGATCATATAACATCATCAAGTTGAAGTTACCCTTGAGATGCAAGAATGTTTCAACATCTGAAAATCAACAAATGGAACACACCACATTAACAGAATGAATCATCTCATGAGATGTAGAAAAATCTTTGGATAAAATTGAAGATATTTCATTATAAAAACTCACAACAAATTAAATATAGAAGAAATGTACCTAAACACAAGAAAGACCATGTATCACAAGCCCATGGCTAACATCATACTCCACAGTAAAAAGTTGAAAGCTATTTCTGTAAGATCAGGAAGAATTCAAGGATGCACACTCCTGCCACTTTTATTCACCATAGTACTGGAAGTCCTAGCAAAAACAATTAGGTAAGAAAAGAAAATAAATGTCATCCAAATCATAAAGAAAACAGTAACATCTCTGTTTGCAGATGTCAGGACATTATATATGGAATACACTAAACACTACACCAAAAATAGTTAGAACTCATTAAAAATCCCATAAAATTGCAGAATAAGAAATGAACACACAAAATCATTTGTATCTCTATATGTTAACATTGAACTATCTAAAGAGAAATTGAGAAGAAAATCCCATTTACAATTGCATGCATCAAAAAGAATAAAATATCAAAAAATAAATTTAACCAAGGAGGACAAAGTTGTATACACTGAAAACTATAAAATATTAATGAAAGAAATTGAAGAAGGCAAAAATAAATAAAAAATATGTCCATGCATGCTATTGGAAAGATTTTATACTGCCAAAATTTCCATGCTACCCCAAGTGACCTACAGATTCAATGCTATATGAACAATAAGATCCTAAAATTTGCATGAACCAACAAAAGACCTGAATAGCACATGCACTCTTGACCAAGAACAACAAAGCAAGAGTCATGACACGCTCTAATTTCAAAATATATTAGAAAACTATGGGAATAAAAACACTCTGGTACTGGCATGAAAACAGACACACAGACCAGTAGAACAGAACAGAAAGTTGAGAAATAAATGCAATCATGTATGTTGAACTTACGTTTCTCAGTGTTGCCAAGAATACACAATGGGGAACAAATTGTCTCTTCCACAAATGCGGTTGGAATAATTAGATATTCATATAGAAAAGAATAAAATTCAACCCTTATCTTACAATATACACAAATATCAACTCAAAATAGATTAAAGACACATGTAATACTTGAAACTATAAATTACCTAGGGTAACACAAAGGGGAAAAGGACTATGATTTTGGTCTTGGCAATGATTTTTTGAATAAAACAGAAGCATACAGTACGAAGGATTCCCAAAAAATTAAAATTGTTATCTGATCCAGAAATCCCACTTCCGGGTATATATGCAAAGGAAATCATACCACCTTCTAGAAAAGATATCTGCCTTCTATTATTGTTATTATTATTTTGTTGTTGTTGTTGTTGAGATGGAGTCTCGCTCTGTTGCCCAGGCTGGAGTGCAGGGGCTCAATCTTGGCTCACTGCAACCTCTGCCTCCAGGTTTCAAGCGGTTTTCCTGCCTCAACCTCTTGAGTAGCTAGGACTATAGGCAGCTGACACCATGCTTGGCTAATTTTTGTATTTTTAGTAGAGACAGTGTTTCACCATGTTGCCCAAGCTGGTCTTGAACTCCTGACCTCAGGTGATCTGCCCTCCTTGGTCTCCTAAAGTGCTGTGATTACAGGCAGGAGCCACCATATCCGGCCTGCATTCTATTATTAATTGAAACATTATTTGTGGTAGCCAAGATATAGCAGCAACCTAAGTGTCCATCAATGAATAAATGAAGAAAGAAAATGTGATAAATATGTACACAATGGAATATGATACACAAAAGACAAATGCTTGAGAGGATGGCTACCCCATTTCATATAGTGTGATTATTACACATTTCATGCCTGCATCAAATCATCTCATGTACCCCAAAATATATACACTTACTATGTACCCACAAAACAAAAAATTAAAAATTAGTAAAACACCAATGTATAAAAAGGTCAAATCTTCATTTGTAGATCTACAATATATAATTTAAATATTTCATTTATACCTCATTGAAGCTGGAAATAACAATATTATTCAATCTATATATACTCATCTTTTGAAGTTGTCTGATTAAAGAATATAGAAATAAAAGGCATATACAATGTGTTCAGCTATTGTAAGAATAAATTGATAATTCTTAAAAAATAAAAATAAAAATAACAGTAACTTTTTATTTGTAATGAAAAATTAATCACTATTAACAATTGTGTGACAGAATTGTTTTCTTTTCTAATCAAGAGCCCACAAATATTTTAAGCATATTTTGGGAATGCTGTAGAAAATAAGATGAAGAAATGAAAATCTATGCTAAATTTGCAGACTTTATATATTAATTGACAACATTATTATACTTCTGTCTCAGAGCATTTCAGCAATATTTGTAAAATGGAAGCCTATGGACACAGTATCTATTCCTGGTGTTCTCCTTCAGTGCACAATCTTGCTACCTAAATTTTTAAACATTATTTATTTATTTATGTGTATATAGTATGTGTATATATTTATGGGGTACATGAGGTGTTTTAATACAGGCATTCAAATTGTAATAATCATGTCATGTAAAATGGAGTATCCATATCCTCAAGCATTTATCTTTCTGTTACACAAAAATTCTGTTCTTTTAGTTAGTTTTAAACATATAATTAACTTATTGACCACAGTCACCCTGTTGTGATATCAAATACTAGGTCTCATTTATTCTTTCTAACATTTTTGTACCCATTAACCATCCCCACTTGCCCCTGACACTCCCAATACCCTTCCCAGCTTCTGTTAACCATTCTTCTACACTTTCTCTTCATGAATCCAATTGTTTTGAATTTTAGATTCTACAAATAAGTGGGAACATGTGATATTTGTCTTTCTGTGCCTGGTTTATTTCACTTAGCATAATGACCTTCAATTCTATCCATATGATTGCTAGATCATATGACAGCTCAATATTTAGTTTATTGAGGAAGCTCCAAACTATTCGCCATAGTGGTTGTACTAATTTACATTTCCACCAACAACGTAAGAGGGTTCCCTTTTCTCCACATCCTTGCCAGCGTATGTTATTGCCTGTGTTTTGGATATAAGCCATTTTAACTAATCTCATTGCAGTTTTGATTTGCATTTCTCTGATGATCATTGACGTTGAGCACCTTTTCATATGCCTGTTTGCCATTTGTATTTCTTCTTTTGAAAAATGCCTATTCAGATATTTTGCCCATTTTTCAGTCAGATTATTAGATTTTTTCCTATAGAGCTGTTTGACCTCCCTATATATTCTGGTTATTAATCCCTTCCTAGATGTGTAGTTTGCAAATATTTTCTCCCAATTTGTAGGTTGCCTTTTCATGTTGTTAATGGTTTCCTTAATCATTTCCAGCTTTGTTGTGCAGAAGCTTGTTAACTTGATGTAATCTTATTTGTCCATTTTTGCTTTGGTTGCCTATGCCTGTGGAGTACTGCACAACAAATGTTTACCCAGACCAATGTCCTGGAGAGTTCTCTTCATGTTTTCTTGCTGTAGTTTCACAGGTTGAGGTCTTTGATTTAAGTCTTTGATACATATTGATTTGATTTTTGTATAAGGCAAGAGATAGGGGTCTAGTTTCCCTCTTCTGCAGATGAATATCTACTTACCCCGGAACCATTTATTGAAGAGACTCTTTTCCTCAGTGTATGTTGTTGTCACTGTTGTATAAAATGAATTCACTGCATGTCTGTGGTTTTTGTTCTGGGTTCTCTCTGCTGTTCCATTTGTCTATGTGTCTGTTGTTATTACAGTACCATGCTGTTTTGGTTACTATAGGTCTGTAGTATAATTTGAAGTCAGTTTTGTTCTTTTTGCTTAGGATAGCTCCAGCTATTTTGTGTGTGTGTGTGTGTGTGTGTGTGTGTGTGTGTGTGTGTGTGTGTGTGGTTTTATATAAATTTTAGGATTATCTTCTATCTTTGTGAGGAATGTCATTGTTATTTTAATAGAGATTTCATTGAATTTGTAGATTGCTTTCGGTATTATGGACATTCTAACAATGTTGATTCCTCCAACTCAAGAATGTGGAATATCTTTGCAATTGTTGGTATTCTCTTCAATTTCTTTCATTAGTGTTTTATAATTGTACTTAGAGAGATCTTTTAATTCTTCATGTAAGCTAATTTCTAAGAATTTAGTTTTATTTTTTGTGATTATAAATTGAATTACATTTGATTTCCTTTTCAGATTGTTCACAATTGCCATATATAAATGCTACAGATTTTTGCATATTGATTTTATATCTGTGATTTTACTAGATTTGTTATCACTTCTAGTAGTTTCTTGGTGGAGTCTTTAGGTTTTTCCAAGTATGAGATCATACCATCTGCAAACAAGAACAATTTGAATTATTTATTTTTAATTTGAAAGCCATTTATTCCTATCTCTTGTTTGTTGGCTCTAGGTAATACTTCCAGTGCTATGTGGAAGAACAGTGGTGAAGGTGGGCATTCTTTTCATGTTTCAGATCTTAAAGGAAAGGCTTTCAGTTTTTCCCCATTCAGTATGATAATAGCTGTGGGTCTGTCATATATGGCTTTTATTAGGTTGAGGTATATTATCTCTGTGTCCACTGTTTTCAGGGTTTTATTATGAAGGGATATTTAATGTTATCAAATGCCTTTTCAGCATCAATTGAAATGTTCATATAACTTTTGTGCTTCATTTTGATGATGATTTATCACATTGATTTGTGCATGTTGAACCATCCTTGCATCGCAGTGACAAATCCCACTAGGGTATGATGAATGATCTTTTAAATATATTGTTGAATTATATTTGCTAGTATTTTCTTGAGGATTTTTGCATCAATATTCGTCAGGGATATTTGTCTATAGTTTTCTTTTGTGGAGGTGTCTTTGGTTTTTGTATTAGGGTAATACTAGCCTCATAAAAGGAGGTTGGAAGTATTTTCTCCTCCTCTAACTTTCAAAATTACTTGACTATGATTGGTATTACATCTTCATTAAATGTTTGGTGGAATTCTGCAGTGAAGCTATCATGTCCTGGGTTTTTCTTTACTGGGATAATTTTTATTATGGCTCTGATGTCATTACTTCTTATTGGAAAATTCAGGTTTTGGATTTCTTCATGGTTAATTATTGGTAGATTGTATGTGTCTAGGAATTTTTCCACATGTGGGGAGTACTGCCAGACTACCTCCGATGTTCCCTTATGGCCCAAAGGCTCTTCAATCAGCTTGTGGTAAATGCTGCCTCACTTGGACTCCCCCTTTAGGGCAGTAGGTTCTCCTCTCACAAAGAGCTGGTCTAGTAATGTCTTCCAAGAGCCCAGTCCTGGAACTGGAGACCCCAATAGCCCACTTGATCCTCTACCCTTCTGTGTTTAAGCTGATCTCTAAAGTGCAAGACAATGTGCCCTTTACTTTTCCTTCCATTTTTCTCAAGTGGAAGGAGTCTCTCACCTTGTATCCACCTCAGCTGGGAATATGCTAAGTCTCACCTGAAGCCTCCAAATCTGAGTCTCACCCAAGGTCTTTGATGTAGTACCTGGATATTACTGCTGGTTATTCAGGGTCCAAGGGCTCTTCAGTTAGCAAGTGACAAATGCTGGTAAAACTGCATCTTTTTCTTCATGTCAGAGGGCTCCCTTCAGACCCAGGGTGTCTAGAAATGTTATCTGGGATTGAGGTCCTGGAAAGGGAGCCTAACAACTGTGATTGGTACCCTATCCTGCTGTGGCTGAGCTGGTATTCAAGATGCAGATAAAGTCCTCCCCACTCTTTCCTCTCCTGTCTTCAAATAGAAGGAAGCAGTCTCTTTTGGAGCCATGAGATGTGTAGCCTGGGGTCAGAAGAGGGGCGATTCCAGCACTCTCTTAGCCACCCTACCTGGCATCTCAATAGGTCATGTGTCCCTGCCCCCAGTCCACCAGCTCTGGGCCTAGTTTAGTACAGGGACTTGCCTAGGAGTTGCAGCCTTTGTGACAGAGGCTACCTTTCAAATTTATTTCAGCTCTCAGTAGTGAGGCCTGCTGGAAGTCAAATTTGGACTACTGGGATTGGCAATTCCCCTCTGGCTAGGGCAGGCTTAAATGCTCCCTCCGTGGGCAGGTGTCAGCTAAGTTTGGTCCAGTTTTGCTTCTGCTATAACAGGGCAGCACTGAGTCAATCCCTTCCCCCACGACAACAACAACAACAAAAATGCTCTTCACACCACACTAGCACTGCCAGTGGGTGGAAAGAGGGGTGGCATTGGTGATTCAAGACTGTTTTTCCTACCTTTTCACTGTCCCTTTCAGCAATAAGTAGTTGAAACCAGGTACTTTGAGTACTCAGCTGATTTTTGTTTCTTACAAAGGGGCTTTTTGTGTGTAGATAGTTGTTAAATTGGTGTCGTTGGGTGGGGGCCAATCAGTGGCACCTTCTATGCTGCTGCCATCTTGCTCCCATTCTGAGTTTGCTCCGAGAATATTTAATTTCAGCTCCAAAGTAGATTGCACAACAACTAATCAAGAGAAAAAAATCTGCATTCTAAATGAATCAAACACCTTTCATTAAAATAAAAGGACTGCCAAGAACAGATTAAAATGTTGGGCCTTAGCCCAGGATAGAATTTCTATCTAGGTCAAGGAACTCACTCTTACCGTTTCTAAGTGGGAAGAATGTGAATCCTTTAAGAAATAAAACACTTCGTAGTAAACAAACATTCTATAGATTTGAAGATACATGAAAATAACAACTCCATTTTTGTACTTTTATTTACAAAATTAATTTAGAAGCATAATTCCTAATTCAAATAACTACTTCCTAATGTCTTCCTATATTCCATCACAATAAATACCTCCAATTCCCAGGGCATAGCAAACAGCAAAAACGATAACAGTAACAAAACTAGTTATATATTAGTTGCTGTCTGTTCAAGGTTGATCAAGAAGTAGATTCTAAATTTTCCACAAAGAGGTCTCTAAAGCATAAAAATCTTTTGTTTCAAGCAAGAATGTCCAGTTTCACAGGTTCTGTAGATATTTTAATTATTTATTTATTTATTTTTTGAGACAGGGTCTCACTCTGTTGCCCAGGCTGGAGTGCAGTGACACGATCTCAGCTCACTGCAACCTCCACCTCACAGGCTCAAGCGATTCTCCTGCCTCAGCCTCCCGAGTAGCTGGGATTACAGGTACCTGTCAGCACGCCGAGCTAATTTTTGTATTTTTAGTAGACGTGGGGTTTCATCTTGTTGGCCAGGCTGGTGTTGAACCCCTGACCTCAGGTGATCTGCCCACCTCAGCCTCCCAAAGTGCTGGTATTACAGGCGTGAGCCACTGCGCCCAGCCTGGATATTTTAATTATGTTCCTTAGAAAGAAGTGCATTGATCATTATGGCTGAATTACTGCTATAATCTTTATATTCTTTTGAAACTCTTCTTTATATTATTATATTACCTATAAAACTGCTTTTTTGTTTTTGATGCTTAGCCTATTTTTGTCTTAATTCAGCAATAATAGTTATTATGTGTATTAATTGTATAATAAATTGAAGTATACCCTACACTTTTTAGACAATATATCATAGGTGACATTGAACTTAGTTTATGTACATTTATTTAAAATGACATCTACTAACGTACAGATTTTGAGAAAATGTTGAAAAAAGTCTATAATGTCTGCTTCCTCATCTGTAAAATAAATGATTTGTAATAGATTGTCTCCAGGTGTCTTACAAAACTAAAATTTTGTGTTCTATAATAGACAGAAGTAAAACAAGCAGTTTCAAAGAATGTAAGAATTATACCAATACTTCAGGGAAAAAAATGTCATATCTTTTGAACAATTCACTAGGTAAGTTACACACTTTGTGATGATAAATACCCAACTTTCTAAGGAACATACTCAGAAAACTTCAAGTGCTATGTTTTCGAGAGAATATTATATAATTGGTGCTAGAACTGAAATAAAATAAATAGCAGTCTCAGGCAGTTTTATAAGTATTACTATGCTTATTAATAAGCAGCAACCATGTCCCTTCATTTTCTTCTTATCACTGAACACAAAATGTAAGGAGAAAATCTTTGTCAAAGTTTTTGAAAAATTTTATTAACATGAAGAGGTCCTTCCCTGTTTCTGTGCTGAACAGTACATTTCAATCAGCAACAAAAGTAAGTGGTATCTGTAATTCTGACCATGAGTTTTGTAATACTGTGTGATGACAGCTGAAATATGAGATATGGACCATCAAGTTTGCTTAACACTGATCACAGCTGCCTTTTCAAATTCAAGAGAACCCAGCATTCTTTTGTTGTCATGAATTAATATATCAATATTAAATAAAATTGAATTTTTGTGAGAATTTCTTATCTTTTACTCTGTAGGAAATAAACAGCTGTTTTTTTTTTCTATTTGAATTAACATTTTGTATTGTCTTTGTTTTCCCTTGTTATATTATATCCACTTTTAAAAATGAAAACAATGAGATTCTCCAGGAACTTTGACTTTAGTGGAATGAAAAATTCATCTTGTAGCTGGTTGGTAAAAAAAAAAGTAAATATTAGAGGAATTAAGAATATATATGGGTTCTTTCCAATGCATGGTGCAATCCTGTCCACAGGTCTTCATTAGCAAATGGTGGTGGTATTTATCTGAATGGATAGCCAAACAGTTTATTTCCATAAAAATATCAGGGTTTTAAACTGGTATAAAAAAAAGGAAGAAAAAGAAAAGAACCCCAAAACCACAGGTTTCTAGCAATGATGACTGAGTGGGGGCAAGGAAGACTCAACCTAAGTAGTATTTTAACAAATCTGTCATGTTTGAATGGTGAGAGCTCCATGGAAGAAAGGAGATGCCAAGTAGTGCTTCAAAGCTTCAGACCACAACCAAAACACAGCATCATTTCAAACAGAAGCAGCAGCCAAACACTGTTCACTTTGATACGGTTCAACGATGCTGACATCAATATTTAATCATCTGCTCACTCATCCAGGAAGAAGGGGAGATCAGTTACTACTGTACTTTGATTGTGTTCAACTCAATCATCATGTTATAAAAACAGCAAGCTGCCATAATGAAAAATAAAGTTCCTCTATCCAGTACCAGTAATCTTCAGTTCTTCACCTCCAAGCCTACAAACACCATAACCATATCCAAAGAACATAGGGGAGCAAAAAAAAACACACCTGATGTATTAGCTGGGACCACGATATTGTTCAGGCTGAGTTATTCCTCTGCAGTCTTATTTTCCTTATATTTTTGGTGTTTCATCTAATCATAAGGATTTTTAGGTCTAAATTATATGTACTCAAAAAAAATGGGTTTATATATTTATATATAAATTCTGACTGAAGATGCATAGCCATCAGCCCAGCGCATGTTACATAGTAGGTGCAAGCTTGCAAAGCCTCATTTTTACTGGTATAGCAGCTGTGTGTCAGTGTAAATTCCTCCTATGTCCCTTGTACATCTCCAAGCTCTGAACAGGAAAATGTTACAGACCATTTTGCCCCTTTGGCTGCTGGCATTATATGACTTAATTCTCCATGTTTTCCCTCTCCATCTCCCAATCACCTGCAATAAACCATAGCCTTTAAGATTTTGTTTCTTCAGTTTTGATCGTCTGAGGTTTGATTGGTCCAGTTCTAACAGGTTTGGTGGCTATGGATGGTGCAGGGGGTGACTTTTCTTCTACTTTTCCGTGACAGACACCAGGAGGGTTGGCCAGTGTTTCAGGAGTTTTACTTGAATCACACCAGTTTTTAGCTGATGTTCATGAAGAACAGTGACTACCTAGAACTGTGCCCCTAATTAAAGGAAATCCTAAGAAGGTGCATTTCTTTACAGAGCTGTGTCATGCCGTCCTTTGGGCCCCCTTCTGGAAAAGTAGAATCAACTCTCGAATAATGCCTTTTTAATTGTATCCTCTAGTATTATAGATATAGGACAGTACTGTATCATACCTCTGTGAATGTAAAATATCTTGTACTTGCTTTATGATACTTAGTAGTGACCATACTTTATAAGAGCTGTTTTTAATTAGGTTATTCTAGAATGTTTTCTTTCCACATGATGATTCAGAAGCTAATTTTAAAAAATGGTGCCAGGTACCACAACAGTAACAGAACTTTGTAGTTTTCTGGGGTTTTGTTTTTTACCTCCCCCCGCCATTTTTTTAAATGGAGTGTGCTGGATGTCTCTATAATTTTGTTCAGATGACCGCAGAACCTGGAAAAACTGTTGCTGCTATTGATCCGTAACATACTGCTGTTATTGATCTATATATATATATGCACACATATATATAATTTCAATTTTTGGAAACTTTAGATGTGCTGTCAACTTTGGAAAAAGTACCCCAGTTTACTGTGTTGAGTTGGCATTGTACAGAAATTAACGGCCATATTGGTCTACAAACATTAAACTTATTTTTTTCGATTTGTACAGGGGTAACACACTGTATTAAATATGTAAGGTCTTATGTACATGGGTTTGATTACAGAAACTAATAAAGTATTCTCTAAATAATGAAAAAAAATCAGGGTTTTAGCCACATAATCAGCAACATTGGTATATGCATGAAACTGTGCTAAATAGCATAAAGGAATGCAAAAGCCCTGCCCTAGTATGAGAAACAAGAAATGAACACACACACACACACACACACACACACACACACACGTAAACACATACACAAACAATATAAACATTGATAGTTGACAAGCAGAACTTAATGGAGAATGACAACGTGAGAATCGTGCCCCATAGGCATTTATTTTAAAAGCTGATTTGCCTGGAGTAAGGCAAATTTTGAAAGTGTCAACTTTTTATCAAGCAATTTTAACATGTACATGTAATTCCTTTATGTAAACTATTTAAATCTCATGCAATCTTATGAAGCAGGTATTATTTTCTCCCAATTTTATAGGTTAAGAAACTGAGGTTTATGGGGATTAAGTCATTTAATCAAGATAAAATAGCTAGCAAGTGATAAAGTTAGTTTTTTAAATCTAGGCCTATATGCCCACTGATCTAGAATTCTTAATAAATAGAGATGCTACACTTTCTAAATTCCCCTGTATATTTCATTAGAAAAAAGATCTTATTTGTTTTCTTTATTATTCTATTTTTTGTGTCCAGCAAAATTCCAGGTATATATATTAGATATACAAGAAATATTTGTAGAGTGAATGAATGATCAGTAAAAGCATAAAATATGGAGGCTTTTAAGAAAAAAGACAGAAAAGAATAAGCCCAAAATGTATATAGCATATGGTTCACTGACCACTATAAATAAGATATAGACATAAAATTCACTAAATATAGAAAAATAAAATAGAAGAAGTAGAATTGCCCAAGTTAGCCCTGGTAGCAGGAGATTTGGCAAAGAACCTCTATCAAGTGGATGAAGAAAGCAGAGATTTTTAAAAAGAAAAAAAAATGGAGAAAGATGACATTGGCATTAGCTCATTTGAAAATAATGTTTTCTTTAGAATATCTTTAAATTTTCAGAAAAGTTGCAAATACAGTTCAGAGTATTCCCATGTATTCAACACCCAGTTTCCCCCCTTATATTAATAAATTGCCTTTGTAAGGCACATTTGTCAAAACTGACAAATCAATATTGATACATTACTGTTAATTAAAGCCCATACTTTTTTCAATTTTCTTAATTTTAACTAATGTGTTTTTTCTATTACAAGACTTCATGCAGGATATCACATTATACTAGTTATCATGTCCCCTTAGGCTCCTCTTGTCTATGACAGATTCTTAGAATTTCTTTGTTTTTGATGACATTGGCAGGTTTGTAAAGTACTAATCAAGTAATTTGTAGAATGTCATTTAATTGGAATATGTCTAATTATTTGTCACATGAGTAGACTGGTTATGTTTTTTTTTTCCAGAAGATTGTGGAGGTAAAGTGTCTTTTGTATCACATTATATCAAGGGTACATGCTATGAACACACTTTCTCACTGGCAATGTTAACCTTGATCACTAGGCAAAGTTAGTGTTTGTCAGGGTTCTTCAACTATAAAAGTCAGTATTTTTACCCCTTCACGTACTATACAGTTCAAAAGAATGTCCTCATGTTCGGCCAACACTTATGAAGTGGAGCTCCTTGTGGGGGTAGTATCTAATTTAAATTATTTGGAATTCTTCTGAATGGGACATTTGTTCATTGTCCCTCATTTAGTTACTTATTCATTTATTTATGTCAATGTGGACTCATACATATTTGTTTTTTCCTTATGTTATACTACAATGTAATTTATTCATTTTGTTTTTCAAATTCTTCCACCTTTGGTTATTGAGATCTCTTTCTTTGTTTTGTTTTGTTTTGTTTTGTGTTTGTTTTGAGTCAGGGTCTTGCTCTATTGCCCAGGCTGAAGTGCAGATGTGTGATCATTGTTCACTGCAGTCTCAAACTCTGGGGTCTAAATTATCCTCCTGCCTCAGGTCCCACATAACTGGGACTATAGGCATGTGCCACCACACACAGTCAGGTGTTTTATATTTTGCACAAGTTCAGTCTTGCTCTGTTGCCCAGACTGTTATGGAAATCCTGGCCTAAACTAATCCTCCTTCCTCAGTCTCCAAAAGTGCTGGAATTACATGGGTGAGCCACTATTCACAGCTGGGAGCTCTTTAAGTAAACTCCTATGCTAATTTGGCATACCCAATCATTGTGCATGTGTGTGTTTCCTATCATGTAATTGTTGAGTATTTCCTTTACTTTCTGTCATTACACAATGCTCTAAGTTTATCTTCTATAGTTTTTAAAATGTCCTAAAATCCATTATTTCCCAGGTAAATCTGCTCCTGTTTATTGGATAAAGGTACTAAAAACCAGACCAAGTTTATTGGATCTGGTTTCTGGGTGTTCTTATTGTTATTGATGTATCCTTTTTTCAAGGTCTTCTCAGCTAGCAGAGCAATAGGGGTATGCGTGTATGCTAGCACATGTGTGTAAAAATATTTATCAATCTAAGGTTACTCATTTATCATCTCTATCTATATGAAGTAATTATTAGTTCATACTTTTGTTTCTAAGTAATCAATTACAACAATGATAAATCTAGTTATTTTTATTTGCTTGTTCTCCAGAAGTAAGAAACAAGGCTATCATCATCTGACATTCATTTACTTGTTTATTCTAGCACGCATTTATACTAGTTTCAGAATTGTTAGTCCATACCTTATCAATCAAAATACACCTGACATGCCCTACAAGAAATGCTAGAAAGAGTTCTTCAAGCCAAAATGAAAGCATACTACATGTTAATGTGAAGCCAGATGAAAATATAACTATATTTAGTGACGTTAAATACATCAACAGTATGAAAACCAAGATTATTGTAATATAAATTTTTCTTCAGAATTTAAAAAAACAAAATGCATAAAAATGTATGTCTATCTTAATGAATGCACAATATATAAAGATGTACTTTGTGATATTAATAATACATAGCAGTAGGGCAGAGAGATAAAGTAGAGTCTATATATGCAAATAAAGTTTAATTGATATCAATTTAAAATAGATTGTTGTGACTTTAAGGTATTATATTCAATCCCTATAATAACCACAAGGAAAATATCTATGAAATATACACAAAAAGAAATAAGAAGAGAATTAAAACATGCTATAACAAAAACTCAACTAAACAAGAGAAAGAAGAAGTAATGGAGGGAATGATGAATGCAAAAATTAATAAGCATATAGAAAATGATAACGAGATTGCAATATAAGCCCCTACCTATAAGGATTTTTAAAAAATATAAATGGACTAAATCCCTCAATTGAAAGGCATAGATAAGTGGGTGAATTGTTTTAAAATAATCCAATTACATTCTGTGTACAAGAAACTCATTATAGTGGAAAATAAAAAGATGGGAAATATATTCCATGCAAATTAATAACCAAAGAAGTGTAGTAGTGGCTATACTAATATTAGAATAAAATAGTCTTTATGTAAAAAAACTGTTATGAGACAAAAAAAGAACATTATATGTTGATAGGAGGTTTAACTAACCAAGAATATATAACAATTATAAACAAATATGCACCAAACATCAAAGCTCCAAAGTATGTAAAGCAAACATTCACAGAACTGAACAAATATATAGAAAATTCTACAATAATAGCTGGAGACATAAACAGGAGTAGATCATTCGATAACAGAAAGAGCACACAAAAAATTGGTAGAGACTAGGAAAGTTCATAGTACTACAGACCAAGTTGACATAATAGACATACAGAATGCTCCTCACATTGACAACTGAATATACATTTTCTTCAAGTGATTATGGAACAATCTTCAGGAAATTTCATATTTTACACCCCGAAACAAGTTTCAATAAATTTTTAAAGACTAAAATTCAACAAATATCATATCTGAACTCAGTGGAATACAACCAGAAATCAAGAACGAAAGGAACAATGGAAAATTCACAAATATGTGAAAACTGAAAAAAAACACTCTTGACCAACCAATAGATCTAGGAAGTAACTATTAAAAATATTTTAAAAATCATGGGAGAAATGAAAATTAAATACAACAAGCCAAAAGGTATGAGATGCAGCAAAAAAAAGTAATAAGAAGACAATTTAGAACTATAAGCAATTATATTAAAAGGGAAGAAAAATCTCAAATCAAAAGTCTAATTTTATACCTTAAGAAACTAGGAAAAGAAAAGTTTAAACACAAATCTAGCAGAAGGATGAAAATAACAAAAATAAGACAGGAGACAAACAATACAGATAATTTAAAAATTGAGAAAATTGATAACATCATGAGATGATTCTTGTAAAAAGATAAACAAATTGAGAAGGCTTTAGCTTCACTGACTAAGCAAAAAAAGATAATACTCAAATACCTAATTCAGGCATAATAGAGAAGACATGACTATTGACTTTATAGAAATAAACAGGATTGCCAGATGTTACTATGTTATAAAAACCTATAGCTATTAAGAAGATTGAAACAGTAATTAAAAACTTTACAACAAAGAAAATCCCCAAACATTTGACTTCACTGGTAAATTCTATAACACATTTGAAGAACTAACACCAGTCCTTCTTAATCTCTTTTAAAAATTTAAGAGTATAGAATATTTTCAAACTCATACTGTGAGGTCAGCATGGCCCTGATAACAAAGACAAAGGCATTATCAAAACACTGTAAACCATTATCTCTGATGGATGTTGATAAAAAAAATCCTCAAAAATTACTCACAATGTAAAAGTGATGGCATATTAAACGGATTATAAACCATGAACAGGTAGTATTAACTGCTAAAATCTAAGGATGCTCTACCATACTAAAATCAATTAATGTAATACGCCACATTAACAGAATAAAGGGGAAAATAATATCAATCATCTTACTTGTTGCAGAACAAAATTTATTTCAACATCACTTGATTCAAAAAGTTAAAGCTAGGAAACAAAGAAAACTATTTCAACATAATAAAATTCATATATAAAAAACACAGTTAACATAATCAATGGTGAAAGACTAAAAGCTTTTCTTCTAAAATCAGGAAAAAGACAAGGATGTCTCCTTTCATAATTTTTATTTTATTTTATTTTATTCAATTTTATTTTTATAGTATGGGAAGTCCTAGTTAAAAGAGTTAAGCAAAAATAAATAAATAAATAAATAAAGTAGAAGTCTTCCAAATTGGAAAGGAAGCAGTAAAATTGTGTCTGTTTGCAAATGGCATTATCTTAAATGCAGAAAACTTGAAAGATTCCACCAAAAATACCCCTAATAGAACAAATAAATGAATTCAGCAAATTGTAGGACACAAAATGAATATGCAAATATTACTTGTGTTTGTATACATTAACAATGAACAATTCAAAAAGAAATTCATTTACAAGTTCAAAAAATAAAACATTTAGAAATCAACTTAACCAAAGAGGTGAACAATTGTACATTAAAAACTACTGGCTAGGCATGTTGGCTCATGCCTGTACTCTCAACACTTTGGGAGGCTGAGACAGGAGGATTGCTTGATGACAGGAGGTTGAGACCAGCCTGGGCAATAGTAAGACTCCATCTCTACAAAACAGACAAACAAAAAACTACAAAATTTTGCTGAAAGAAATTAAACAAGACACCAATACATGGAAAGACATACCTTATTTATAGGTTGAAAAACATATTTTCAAAATGAAAATACTATACAAAATTATCTACAAATTAAATACAAACCCTGTCAAAGTCCTAATGATGTTATTTTAGAAGTAGAAAAATCCACTCTACAATTTACATGAAATCTCAAAGGACTGCCTAGCCACAATATTGAAGAAGAAAAAGAAAATAGTTGGAGATCCCAGACTTCCTAATTTCTCCAGATATTTAGGAATTTGAAGGATTCTTATCTTGGTCCTGTGGTTAAAAAAAATAAAAAAGCATTTTCAGGAGAGGAACCAAAGATATGGCCAAAGGACCATTTGTTAAGGATATTAGTGGGGATATAACAAAACTGCGCATTATTCATTAGGACAACAGAATAATGAATTTAAAGGCACTTTGGAAATTACTCCTGCCATCCCTCCCACCACAGGCTCAGAAAGCCAAGACCTGGAAAATAAAAATATGTCAAGAGAGGCCTAGGGTGCCCTAAAGATTTTCTGGCTTGCTGCTTAGGGCCACCTCAAGTCTCTGCTTCCCGCATTCTAACAGGGCACTGCTGGTTGGCCAAGGGAGCCAAGGTGGCACTTGGACCACTGCTCCCCAGGGAATGGATACTTAGCTTTGGTATTGTCCATGTGATCCTAGCTCTGCAGTGTCACAGACTGCTCAAGCTATAGAGCCATGGTGGTCTCCACCTAGGTATTAATGAATGTATCAGATAACCTGCGGACCCAAACAGATACCTGCTGCAGGGGTAGGGTCACCAGAGAGTTACCATTAGGGCTATGCCTACAGAAGCTATAGAGTAGGATTACTTCCAAGGCCCCAGAACTGAAAGCAACCAGTGTGCATTGCTGGTCGGGAAGAGCTGTAGGCATGAAACATCAACCTGTAAGAACTGCTGCATGGGCTGAGCTCAGCATAGCTATAAGGGTGAGGGTGCCCAAGATGATGGGGGCTGAACCCTCACCCAAGTGTGCCCAGAAGGCAGGATATGGGGTCAAGAAAGATTATTCTGGAGCCTTAATATTTGATGTTATTTGCACTGTTGGGTTTAAAACTTATTTGTGACCAGTTACCACCTTTTTTTCTTGTTTATTTCTCCCTTTTAGGATGGAAATGTCTATCATATGCCTGTCCCACCATTGCATTTTAGAAGTAGATAACTTGTTTGATTTCACAGGCTTACAAATGAAGGGAAATTTGGCTCAGGATAAACCATGTCTTCAGTCTCACCAATATCTGATTTAGATTCTACTCAAGACTGAACTTTGATCTACTGCTGGAAAGATTTAAGACGTTTCTACTGAATAGAATAAATGCATTTTTTTATATGAGAAGGACATGAGTTTTGGAAATCAGGTGTAGAATGCTATGGTTTGAATGGCTGTCCTCTCCAAATCTCATGTTGAAATTCTAATTGCTATTGTAAGAGCATTAAGATACGGAAACCTTAAAAGATGATTAAGCCATGATGATTTCACCCTCATGGGTGAGATTGTTGCTGATATAAGAAGGAGAGTTCAGCCCCCTCTTGTCCTCTTTCTCACCCTCTCACATTCCTTCATGTGATGACACAGCAAGAAGTCCCTCATAAGATCTTGGCACCTTGATATTAGACTTTTGAGCCTTCAGAAATGTGAGCCAATAAATTTCTCTTCATTACAAATTACCCAGTCTCAGATATTCTGTTATCACAGCACAAAACAGACTGAGACACCAGGATTTATGAGCTCAAGAAACAAGAGGTAGAAATGGGAGTGCCACCACTTCCATTAAAATCTCTATTTCCTCTCTAGAAAAATTTGCGCCTATGTTTCCTGTGACTTTATGCTTTTCTGTCCTAGAGTTTTTAGTTCCAGAGGGAGAAATGCTTCCAGCAGAAGACACAGTACTTCTATCGAACTGCACATTGACACTATCACCCAGCTCCAAGGGGCTCCTCATATGCTTCTGAAGTAACAGACAAGCAAGGAAGGTTTGATGTTGACTGGCATAATTAATCTTGACTGACAACAGAAAAGTGGACTATTATTCCACAGTGGAGGTAATGGAGAGTATGTTTGGAATATAGATTTCTTAAATTGTCTCTTGTTATTACCATGACCTGTAATTAAAGTCAGAAAACTACAACAACCCAGTCCAGGCAGGACTCTGAATCGCCCAAAAATTTCAGGAATGAAGCCTTAGGTAACTCCATCAGAACAATAATCAGCTGAGGTGCTTAGTGAAGGCAAAGTGAATACAGAATGGGTAAAAAAAGAAGGTAATTAGAAATATTAGCTGTGAACATGTAACCAGTTAGAAGAACTACAAACGCCATGGGTATTTACTCCTTATTTTGTTATGAATATATTTGTTTGTATATATACATATATTAAGCAAATATCATTGTTTTCTTTCCTTTCTTATTCCCTTATGTAACATATGATATATTGACTTTTTATCAGTAATTATTAATTTTGAATCATAGTATTAAGTTATAGGTTATCAGGAAAAGACTAAACCTAACTGAAGTGTTTTATATGTTCTTTTGGAGAAAGAATTAGTGTGTTTTCAGTTGTACACAGGATAGCTGTATCATGACAGGTAAAATTTTGACCTTGTTATTGGTTTTATTTGGAGATTAAGTATGCTTTAAGAAGATGCAAGTAGGGGCCATTTTGACAAGGGATGGATTTATGATGGTTAATTTTATGTGTCAACTTGACTGGGCTAAGGCACGTCTAGATAGCTGGTAAAACACTATTTCTGTAAGCGTGTTCCCAGAAGAGATCAGCACTCGAATTGGTGAATCAATTAAAGTAGATAGCCTGGTTCAATGTATGTGGGCATCATCCAAGCAGATGAGGGCCTGAATAGAACAAAGCAACAGACGAAATATAAATTCACTCTGCTTGAGCTGAGGCATTCAACTTCTGCCCTCGGACATCAGTTCTCCTGCGTCTCAGGATTTCAGACTCAGACTAGGGTTTATACCATCCATGGGCCGCCTAATTCTCAAGCCTTTAAACCTGGACCGAATAATACCACTGACTTTCCTGGTTCTCCAGTTTGCAGATGGCAGATCATGGGAGTTCTAGCCCCTGCCTAACCATATGGGCCAATTGCTGTAATAAATCTCCTCTTATTTATCTGCATCCATATCTATATCTATATCTTACTGATTCTTTCTGAAGAACCCTGATATAGTTGTATAACTGTAAATTTACCAAAAATCACTAAATTTTACACACTTTAAATGGGTGAATTATATGGTATGTAATTGTAACTTGATAATGTTATTTTTTTAAAGTACCAATAGCCTAATACACATAAAAAAGCTATTTACAGATATAAAAAAGGGAAAACCTCATTTATACTAGTAGCAGCAACAACAAAACATACAAATTAACATAAAAATGTTTAAAGCATTTAAAAAGAAAATCTCAAAACCTTTCTAAAGACACAAAAATAATCAGAAACAGGAGGGAAGAGCAAAATGGTCAGCTAGATGCAGCCAAGTGAAACAGCTCCCACTAGGACTAAGATGACTAACGTGCTTCTAACAGATATTCAGAGAAGGCACTGAGATTGGATGAAGGGAATACACAGAAGTTGGGATGAAGAGGGAGAAACCTGGGGCTTTAAACCAAAAAAGAGTAAAAAAGACAAAAAAGGCATTGCATAATGGTAAGGGTTCAATTCAACAAGAAGTTTGAACTATCCTAAATATATATGCACGCAACGCAGATGCACCCAGATTCATAAAACAAATTCTTAGAGACCTTCAAAGAGAGACTGTTACACAATAATAGTGGGAGACTTTAACACCCCACTGACAATACTAGAACATCAAGACAGAAAATTAACAAAGATGTTCAAAACTTGGACTCAGCACTGGATCAAATAGACCTGATAGACATCTACAGAACTATCCACTGAAAAACATCAGAATACACATTCTTCTCATCACCACATAACACATACTCTAAAATCAATCACATAATCAGGATTAAAACACTCCTCAGCAAATGCAAAATAACTGAAATCATAACAAACTTTTGGACCACAGCACAATCAAATTAGAAATCAAGATTAAGAAATTTACTCAAAACCATACAATTACATGGAAATTGAATGACCTGCTCCTGAAGGACTTTTGGGTGAATAATGAAATAAAGGTTGAAATCAAGTTCTTTGAAACTAATGAAAACAAAGATACAACATACCAGAATCTCTGGGACACAGCTAAGGCAGTGTTAAGAGGAAAATTTATAGCACTAAATGCCCTTACCAAAAAGTTAGAAAAATCTCAATTTACCAACCTAACATCACAACTAAAAGAACTAAAGAACCAAGAGCAAACCATTCTTAAAGCTAGCAGAAGACAAGAAATAACCAAAATCAGAGCTGAACTGATGGAGATTGAGACACGAAAAACCATTTTAAAAAATGAATCCAAGAGGTGATATATACAGTAGACTACTAGCTGGACTAATAAAGAAGAAAATATAGATGATTCAAAGAAACAGAAACAACAGGGGGGATATTACCACTGACAACAAAGAAAGGCAAATAAACATCCGAGAACGTTATGAATACCTTTATGCACATAAGCTAGAAAATCTAGAAGAAATGGGTAATTTCCTAGACATACACCCTCCCAAGACAGAACCAGCAAAACATTGAATCCCTGAACAGACCAAAAATGATCTCTGAAATTGAGTCAGTAATAAGTAGGCTATCTGCCAAAAAAGCCTAGGACCAGGTAGATTCATAGCTGAATTATATCAGATGTACAAACAAGAGTTGGTATCATTCCTAGTGAAAATACTCCAAAAAAATTGAAGGGGAGGAACTCCTACCTAACTCATTCTTTGAGGCTATGAGGTCAACATCACCCTGATATCAAAACCTGGCAGAGAGACAATAAAAAAAGAAAACTTTAGGTTAATATTCCTGAGAAACATTGACACAAAAACACTCAATGAAATACTGGCAAACTGAATCCATAAGTGCATCATAAAGTTTAGCAACCACAATAAAGTAGGATTTATCTCTGAGATGCAAGGTTGGTTCAACATGTGCAAATCATTAAGTGTGATTCATACATAAACATCAGTACAGACTAAAACAACATAATGATCTCAATAGATGCAGAAAATGGTTTCTGTAAAATTCAATATTGCTTCATGTTAAAAACTCAATAACCTGGGTAGTGAAGGAACATACCTCAAAATAATAATAGCCACCTGTGACAACCCCACAGCCAATATCATACTGAATGGGCAAAAGCTGGAAGCATTCCTATTGAAAATCTGAACAAGACAAGGATGCCCTCTCTCACCACTCTTATTTAAGATAGTATTGGAAGTCCTGGCCAGGGCAATCAGGCAAGAGAAAGAAATACAGTGCATCCAAATAGGAAGAGAGGAAGTCAAACTACCCATTTGCAGACAACATGATCCGATATCTACAAAACCGCAGTCTTAGCCCAAAAGCTTCTTAAGCTGATAAACAACTTCAGCAAATTCTCACGATACAAAATCAGTGTGCAAAAATCAGAAACATTCCTATACACCAACAACAGTCAAGCCAAGAGCCAAATCAGGAACATCTTCCCGTTCACAGTTGCCACACACAATAAATAAAATATCAATGAACATAGCTAACAATGGAGGTGAAGGACTCTACAAGAACAACAAAAGACTGCTCAAAGAAATCAGAGATGACACAAACAAATGGATAAACATTCCATGCTCATGGATAGGAAGAATCAATGTTGTTAAAGTGACTGAACTGCCCAAAGTATTTTCTGGATTTAATGCTACTCCCAATAAACTACCATTGATATTCTTCATAGAAATAGAAAAAACTATTTTAAAATTCATCTGGGACAGAAAAAGAGCCCAAATAGCCAAGGCAAACATAAGCAAAAGAACAAAGCCAGAGGCACCATGATACCGAACTTCAAACTGCAGTACAAGGTTGTAGTTTGGTTACAAGGCTACAGTAACCAAAACAGCATGGAACTAGTACAGAAACAGACACATAGACCAATGGAACAAAATAGAGAACCCAAAAGTAAAGCCACACACCTAAAACCATCTGATCTTTGACAAATCTGACAAAAATAAGCAATGGGGAAATGATTCTCTCCTCAGTAAATGGTGCTGGGATAACTGACTAGTCATATGCAGAAGATAGAAACTGGACCTCTTCCTCACACCATATCCAAAAATTAACTCACGATGGATTAAAGACTTAAATGTATAACCCAAAACTATAAAAAACCTTGGAAGACAACCTAGACCATACTGTTCTGGACATAGAAATGGGCAAGTATTTCGTGATAAAGACACCAAAAGAAATTGCAATGAAAGCAAAAATTGACAAATGAGATTCAATTAAACTAAAGAGCCTTCTGCATGGCAAAAGAAGCTATCAAAAGAGTGAACAGAAAACCCACAGCATGGGAGACAATGTTTGGAAACTATGCATCCAACAAAGGTCTAATATCCAGCATCAATAATGAACTTAAACAAATCAAAAAGTAAAAAAACAACCCCATTAAAAAGTGGGCAAAGGACATGAACAGCCACTTTTCGAAAGAAGACATACATGTGGCCAACAATCATATATAAAAAAGCTCAACATCACTGATCATTATACAAACACAAATCAAAACCACAATGAGATACCATCTTATACCAGTAAGAATGGCTGTTATTAAAAAGTCAAAAATTGAAAGATGCTAGCAAAATTGTGGAGAAAAACGAAGGCTTATACACTGTTGATGGGGCTGTAAATTATGTCAACCATTGTGGGAGAGTGTGACAAGTCCTCAAAAACCTAAAAACACAAACATCATTTGGCCCAGCAATCCCATTACTGGGTATATAGCGAAAATAATATAAATCATGCTATTATAAAGACACATGCATGCATACATTCATTGCAACACTATTCACAATAGCAAATACATAAAATCAACCTCAATGCCCATCAATGGTAGACTATATAAAGAAAATGTGGTACATGTACACCATGAAATACTATGCAGCCATAAAAAGGAATAAAATCTTCTTATTTGCAGGAACATGGGTGAAATTGGAGGCCATTATCCTTAGAAAACTAACACAGGAACAGAAAACCAAATACCACATGCTCTCACTTACAAGTGAGAGCTAAATAATGGTAACACATGGACACATAGAGGGAAACAGCACATGTTGAGTTCTATCGAAGGGTGGAGGGTGGGAGGAAGGAGAGGATCAGGAAAAATAACTAATGGGTACTAGGCTTAATACCTGGGTAACAAAATAATTTGTACAACAAACCCCCATGTTTTTGTACTACACATAATGGAAAATGAACAGGAAGGTGTATAGCCAGTGTAAAAATTAATAGCTAGAGCTTTGCATGGAGCCTCTAGCCCCACTAGATATTTAAACATAAACAATGTCTCTATAGTAATGCAATAACATACTGGCACACTAATACACAGGCAGAAATGAATTAATAAAGAATTACAAAAGTAGACCCAAGTATATAGTTATATTTATAATATAATGTTGGCATTTTATATCACCAGAGCTAAAAGGGACATATAAATTACATTGAGATAATTGGATAGTCATTTTGAGAAAAAAACAATGTCTATATCTCATACCACACAACAATCAAGTACAAATTATTTGGAGATATAAATTTAGCAGAGAATAACCAAATAAAGAAAGATACCGTGTACAAATTAGAAGAAAGGATGAGTAAAATCTTATAATCTTTGATGTGCAAAAATCTTTCTAACTATAACTCAAAACCTAGTTTCAATAACAAAAAGGAGTGATAAATTTTACCATATATTAATACATTTATTTAAGGCTAAAATCATAGTAAACAAATTTTGAATTTTTCACCAAAAAATAATAACTTAAAAGCAAATCTATATTCCAGGTTAACTATTTTCATATTGGAGAGAATAACAAAATAAAATACAAAATAGGAAAGTATAAAATAAGATAATCCAAAATGTAAAGAAAATACCAAATACATGATATAAAGCTATATAAATGAATTCATAAGGGAAATATCTGTGATAGCTACTTTGAAATACCATTCTATACCTCTCAAAAATTGCCAATATTCAAAACATTGGTAACATGTTTAGTTGGTAAGAATGTCGGGAAAGCAGCACAATCATATATAGCCATTGGAAACACAATATTATACAATCACTGTAGAAAGAGATTTGATAAATTCTAATAAAACTATACTATAGCATTATATTAATAAACTATACTGTATCTCAATTCTAGGAATTTATCCTTAAGTTCTCTCCATGCATATGCACAACTTTGTTCATTGTATCAGCAGTTGTAATTTTAAAATAATAAGAACAATCTATATGGCAAAATATGGAAAATAGTTTGAACGAATTATGTTACATAAACCATACACCCCAGGAAGAACTATAGCAACCTGATAGAGAAAGTGAGGACAATCTCTATAACCAATATGGAGTTATTTCCAAGATTGCAGTTAAATGAAAAAAAGCACAAAGAAATATACAAATTAAGGTTTGTGTGTGTACATATATATATATACACCATATATATACATATATGGTGTATATATATATGGTATATATAGGTATATATACCTATAAAAACACACCTATATATGGGTATATATACCTATATATATATATACCTTATATATATATACCTATATAATTTAAAAACATTACAAAGTTATATCTGCTTTTTAAAGAAGAAAAACAAAGAATAAGGCAAGAACAAATCAAATTATTTACCTATAGGCTATAAAGGAGCACCGGGTACAATGTGCAGCTTCTGAGTGTAGCTTTATGCATAGTTTTGTGTTTTGAAGCTATGTTAAGGTTTCACATTTTAAAAAATGAAATAAAATAAAGATGGGTGAAAATACTAAATTTTAGGGGAAAAACCCACAAGTGACCCTAGATGTCTTTCTTCAATGACATGATTGTCTATTTAGAAAACTCCAAAGACATGATTTTTAAAAATTGAGGCGGGGAACTTAATACAGGATTATGGCAAGTTTGTAGAATACAAGGTTAGTTAAAAAATCAATAGCATTTTTTATGCCAGAAATCTACAAATGACATGTGAAATTAAAAACAAAATGCCATTTATGTTATAACCAAAAATATTAAATGAATAAGTATAAATCTAACAAAATATATACAGGATTTATATGAAGAAAACTACAAAACTCTGTTGAAAGAAATTAAATAAGAAATGAAAAGAGTGAGAATCCATGTTCATCAATAGGAAGACTCAATATTGTTAAGATGCCAATTTCTCCAACATAATTCTAATACAATACCAATCACAATCTCAGAAAGCTGTTTTGTTGACATCAACAAATTAATTCTAAAGTTTATATGGAAAGGCAAAAGTGCCAGAATAGACAGCAAAAGACTGAAAAAGAAAAAAAATCAGAGAACTGATAATACACTACTTTAAGAAATATTATAATGATAAGAAACAAAGACAGTGTGGTATTGATTTAAAAAGTGAACAAATTGATCAATGAAACAGTATAGAAAGCCCAGAAATATACCTGAAAAACTATGGTCAACTGATCTTGGACAGTAAAAAGCAAAGACAATCCAATGGAGAAAGGATAACTTTTTCTACAAATGGTGTTGGAACAAGTAGACATTATATGCCAAAAAAATGTCTAGACACAGTCCTTAGACCTTTCACACATACACATGCACACACACCACTAAATGGATTATAGACCTAAATATGAAATAGAAAACTATAAAATGTTGTTTCAAAAATCATAAGAGAAACTCTAGGTAACCTTGTGTTTTGTGGTTACGATGACTTTTTAGATACAACACCAAAAATACTATCCATGGAAGAAAAAATTAAGTTGCACATCATTACAATAAAAAACTTCTACTCTGTGAAAGATACTGTTAAAAGAATGAAAAGACAAGTCTATAGACATTTTAAAAATATTTGCAAAGCACTATGTGATTAAAAATAAAACTTATATTCGAATTATACAAAGAACTCTTAAAAATCAATAATAAAAAAACAAACAACCCAATTAAAAATAGGCAAAACATTCGAATAGATGCCTCATCAAAAAATATAGAGATGGCAAATAATCATATGAAAAGATGTGCAGTTTCATATGTCATTAGGGAATAATAAAATAAACAATAATGAACTACTCTTAAATACCTATTAAGATAGCTAAAATCCAAAAGACTGACAATACCAAATGCTAGTCAGAATGGGGAGTAACATGAACTTTCATTTTTTGCTGATAGCAATGCATAATGTTGTAGGCACTTTGAAAGACAATTTGCCGGTATGTTACAAAGGTAAAAATTGTCTCATTATATGGTCCAGCAATTGCACACCTACGTATTTATCCAATTAAAATTTATGTCAACAGAAAAATCTGCATATAAAATCTTATAGCAGCTTTAAGTGTAATTGCCCTAAAACAGAAGTCACCAAGATAAATGGATGAACAATCATACATTCATACAACAGAATATTATTTAGTGATAAAAAGAAATGAGCAAGCAAGCCATGAAAAGATATAGAAAAACCTTGAATGCATATTGTAGTGGAATATGAATAGGTAAAGCACAGAGGATTTTCAAGGCAGTGAAAGTGTTGTCTATGGCACTGTATTGCTAGATACATGGCATTATTCATTTACAAAACCCAAAACCCAAAGAACTATACAACGCAAAATGTGAGCCTTAACGTAAACTCTGGGCTTTAGTTAATATTAATGCATCAATATTACTTCATAAATTGTTGAAAATGTGCCACATTCATGCAAAGTGTTTATAATAGGGGGAAATGTGGATCTGGGGGTAGGGTATGAAGGAACTCTGAAGTAGCTGCTAATGTTTTTAATTTAAAACTTTTCTAAAAAATAAAGTCTTTAAGAAATACAATATGTTGACTCTAATACAATATTTTGAAACCACCTGTCCAGCAAATGCTAGTATTAGGATAGACTTTTTTTTTTAACACTCTAAACTCAACAGAAAAGAGCCAAAGAATCCAATTATAATAGGGCAAAAGGCATAAACAGACATTTTACTCAAGAGGATATCCACATGGCATATAGTAAATCAAATTGTATTCATCATTAGTCATTAGGGAAATGCAAATAACAACCATATTAAAATATCACAGCACACTTATCAGAGTGATTAAAAGTAGTGACAATACCAAATGGTGACAATGTGGAGAAAACAAAATACTAATACATTGCTTCAAGCAATGTAAGATGATAGAACCATTCCGAAAATTTTGGCAACTTTATGGAAAGGCAAACATGTGCCTTCTGTAAAACCGAGGAATTCTATACTTGAATATCTATCCCAGAATTTGTTTGATTTCATAAAAATTCCTTACATAAATGTTCATAACAGCTTTATTCGTAATATAAAAATTGTAAATAACCAAAATGCAATTCATTAGATGAATTGTTGTGCTGCAGTTAGCATACATATACTATGGAATATTTCTCAGCAATAAAAAGGACCTATCAAGACACTCAACAACTAGTATTACATTAAAGGTAATTATACTGAATGAAAAAAATGCCAATCTAAAACAGTTATATACTCAATTATTCCATCTATAAGATATTATGTAACATTCTT
Organism: Homo sapiens; assembly: GCF_000001405.40. Lineage (NCBI taxonomy): Eukaryota > Metazoa > Chordata > Mammalia > Primates > Hominidae > Homo > Homo sapiens. The sequence goes on from NC_000023.11 coordinate 89,910,749, forward strand.
AAAATGACAAAATATTAAAAATGAAAACAGCTTAGCATGTGCCAGAAGTTAGGGAAGGATGAGGTGACTTGCTATAATGGCAGCAGGAGGGATCCTTTTAATGGATCTCTTCCATATTTTGATTATTGTGGTGGTCACAGAAATCTGAACATGTAATAAAACTGCATAAAATTAGGTAGACATAACACACAAAAATGAGTCAATGTCAATGAATCTTTTTTTTTTTTTTGAGATGGAGTCTGTCTCCCAGGCTGGAGGGCGGTGGTGTGATCTCGGCTCACAGCAAGCTCCGCCTCCCGGGTTCACGCCATTCTCCTGCCTCAGCCTCCCGAGTAGCTGGGACTACAGGTGCCCACCACCACACCCGGCAAATTTTTTGTGTTTTTAGTAGAGACGGGGTTTCACCGTGTTAGCCAGGATGGTCTCGATCTCCCGACCTTGTGATTCGCCCTCCTTGGCCTCCCAAAGTGTTGGGATTACAGGCGTGAGCCACCACGTCCAGCCCATGTCAATGAATCTTATCAATGTCAATATCCTGGTTGTGTTATTGTTTCCAGTTATGCAAGGCGTAACTACTGGGGAATACTGGGTGAGGGCAGGCAGGATTTCTTTGTATTATTTCTTACAATGGCATATTCATCTACAATTAGCTCAAAATAAAAAGTTAAATAAAATTCACAATAGTCCCTGCTATTATAAATCTCACTTTTGTTTCCAAATTGACTCATCTTTGAGTCAAAGTAAAATTCAATAGATAAATATTGACGCAATATGGCTAAGTCTGTGATTTCTCTCTACCTATATGTTCATGTTTTGTTTATGAAAAGTCATTAATTTTTAAAAAATTAGTTATCCTTCAGGTCTCAATAATCCCTATTCCACAATGGTAAAGTTACAACAAATGCACTTACTTAGAGCACAGAATCCTTTCACACCACTACCAAATTTGTCTTCATTCCGTTTGCTGGGCCAATGCCACAAGATAAGATAAACCCTGGCCCTATTTTCTCAGACTGCATGATAAGATGAATACTGTAATTTTGAATTGAACATAGAGTCAGTGGTACATTAGGAGCCTAGTAGAGGAATAGTAACAAGAAGTCAAAAATCTTTAATGTGAGACACTGGATAATGACTGGACTGGAGACAAATCATTTCTTTTAAAAAAAACCCAGAATATAGACTATTAAAATAGAACACAAAAAATTTAAAATGTTTTAAGGAGAGATGAAAATAATCAGATGAAATGAGAAGCAAATAAGAGAAAAAAAGAATATATTTGTCACACAGGTGAAACAAAAGGTGAGGGAGGGGACAGAACAGGAATTCAGAACTGTAACTAAAATCTGTCTGCTTATATACCTAATTTTTCATATTTGCTCTGTTTTAATGAGAATTTTCCATAAAATAAAACTAACTTTTCAATATTCTGTTAACCAATTTCCTCTTCTTCTAACTACCACACTTCTTCAAAAGGAGAATACACCCTAGAAATCGTCTGCTGAACTAGAAAACAAGAAGACTGTTCAATAAGCCAGTCTGTCATCTTGCTCACTGAAGGAACAAGTATATGTATATACAATTTTTTGTTAGTAGTTTTTCAGGTTTCACTACCAATTAAAGTACACTAAAGATAGAGAAAATGCAATGAACTACATAGATTTGAAAATGCATGTTGATTTTGGGAAGTTATATAAAATTAGTTTTAAATTTTCTCAACTTTTCCAATATATGGGGGAAAAAAGTTTTGAAAGCCAACTAATTCCATGAGTTCTATGGAATGGAAACACTGATATAAATTTTGCCTTGAAAGAAATTAGATTTTCTGATTAATTGGTATAAGTTTTAAATAAGATATAACACCTTACACTTCTGTTACACTTAGTTTAAAAGATATGAGTACAATAATGTTGAGACATTATTCTTGGCACCACAATACAGTAAATAGTTTAAATGCCTAACCAAAATAGCTATTTTAGGAAGCTGGCATAACAACCTGTGAATGTCATGCCTTCCGAAATGGCAAAAGAAGATTTTTTCATTTCCTCTCCACAATCCCAAACAATGAGAAAACAATGAAAAGTTTAATAGAGTGAGTTACAAAGCACAACTATGCAAAAATAAAAGATGTATAGCACACTGGGTAAAAGTTATTTGCTGTCCCTAGGTAGTACATTTAATTTACAACTGATGTTCATAAAATAAAATGATAAATATTTTCCTTTTGTCATAAGTATCTACATATGTCTCGCTATGTTTTCAACTTTTTAATGTAACCTTTATAATATGACTATGATACTGGAAATTTAATGTTCATATATTATTAATTATGCTTTTCTACTATATTGACCTTTTTAATATTCTGCATGTTGGTCATTTATTCATCCCCAGATAATTGCTTCACCTGTAGGTAAAAGGTGATATTCAAAGCCAAAGGCAAAATACTATTATTTAAAAGTTCAACTCTTTATTCAGAGTATAATATCAATTATTAAAATATGCATACTGATGTATTTACTATTACAACATATATTTTTGTACTACATTTAAGTTTACTGTTTGTGTCTTATAATATCTACACTTATTCAAAATCTTCAAATGAAAATAATATGTAGATTGTATTCATACTTGCCAAAAATTATATTAACTCTAGCCTTAGTTCAAACTTATATTAATGTATAATTTTAAACTACTGATTAAACTAAAAATTTACAGATATTTTCCTGCTTCTAAAAATATACTAGCAAAGATTGTTATAGTAGAAAAAAACAAAAAGAGCGTTTTCTTAATCTCAGCCATTAAATCAAATAACTACTGAGTCAAAGTGGGGTATATTTGATGGTAATCATGAGGCTTGGGTTTCAGTCCAGGTTTTACACCAAAATATTCTTCATGATTGGAAAAATTAGTTTCCATTACGGAGCCTTTTTTAAAAAATTTCATACGCACACAGATTCTCTCTAAAGTCACATTCAAATCAAAATTCTTTATGATGATATGAAAATAAGCAATGGAGATAAAATATTCTTTTGTTACAAATTTTAGTAAAATTGTGACGTATTATATTTAATAACTACTATTTTCCAAGATAGAACAATCCTAGCTTGATAAAGCATATTGAGTAGATATCTGTATATTTAAAGAATATCCAGAATTCCCTCTTTAAGAGTACCTATCAGAGCAATACTACTTCAGATAACTATAAACTATGGAGAAAATATTTAAAATATTCTTTAAATCTAACAACATTAGAGCACAACAAAAAGCATGATAAAACCACAAAGGAGTCGACAGCTTAATATAACAGTAAGTTTCTGATATTTTAAAGGCTTCTTATGAAAAAGAAGACAGGCTCCAGTTCACTTCACGTAAGTTACCTCTATTTACATGGAATTCCACAGTCTTGTCTGCACGACTATCCACATATGGTATCCACATGTGGTAGAGTTTAGGCTACCACAGCAACTGTAAATTGAAGAGGAAATGTTGGAGAAAAATTCCAGAGAAGACGAGTCCCAAAATTTATGTATAAATATTGCCCAAATTTCTAGCTGACCCAAGAAGTATGCAAAGTCAGGTCAGATGCCACACAGACCAGGTAAGGCTAAGACATATATATTTTTAATTTCAGCTGATTCTCCATCCAGGGCAGTCAACATTTAAAAAAAAATATACCCAGCCAAGTTAATTTCGGGCTGAAACTACAACAAATGAAAAAAACTCCATTGTTTCAATGAATATAATAGAATCAAGAATCTCTGCAATATTTTATGATGTCTAAGATATAATCCAAAATTATTAGACATATGAAGAAACAGAAAAAATATTTCATGCTCAGGTTAAAAACAAAAAAACAACAAATGGAGATTGACTCAGGCATAATGTTGATGTTTGAAATTAGCAGACAGTTCTTTAAAACAGCTGTAATTACTGTAACTCACAGACTTTTGGGAAAATATGCTTAATGAATAAATTGATAGGCAATTTTAAGGAGGTAGAGACTTTTAAAAGCAGACATGCTCAGATTAAAATTACAATATGTAAACAAACACAGAACCTAGCTATCTAGGTTCCTATATAATGTCAGATTACAAATAAAAGAAGAAACATACATTCACTTAAAGATAGATTGATATAAATTATCCAATCAGGAAAATAAAGAAAAAATAGATAGATTGATATAAATTATCCAATCAGAAAAATAGAGAAAAAATATTTTAAAAAATGAGTAGATCTACAATAATCTCTGGTAAAGTGTGAAAAAGTCTAAAATATATAAAATGAAGGTATCAGAAAATGAGGAGTGACAGCATGGGACAGAAATACTATCTGAAGAAATAAAGACCAAAATCTTCATTTTAAGAAAATTCATATATGTGTAGAGTTAAGAAATTCAGAAAACATGAAGAAGAGACAACAAACAGAAAATAAATCATGTTCAGACATTTGAAAACTGACCTTAAAAGGCCATGAAAAATGTGAATCAGTTATCACTATAATTCAGAAATAATGAAAATGGAAAGGCAGTGGAGGGAGATTTTTAATGGGCTCAACAATAAATAAAACCATTAACTGAAAATCTGATTCTATATCTAGCAAAAATATCCTTTAATAATGGAAGTGAAGTGAAGACATACTCAGAAAATAAAAACTAAATACTAAGAAAATCTGTCATCTCTATAAATACCTGAGAATAACTGCTACAGAAAGTTTTTCTGGCTGAAGAGTAATTATTCCAGATGTAAATCAGACTTTTAGTTATGAACAGAAAACACAGAAAATTCTGAAGATGTCAGGAAACTAACAGACTATATTTCCTCTTAATTACTTAAATAGACACGTAACTGATTTAAACAAAAGTTATAACATTTTAATATAGTTTTGAACATATTTCGATATAATACACATGAAAACTATAAAATTAGAAGATAGAGGTATAGAGAATGAACATATCCAAGCACAATGTTCTTATATTTTTTGCAAAGTGGTAGAATACGAAATCTATGGAGACTGTAAAAACTTAAAAATATATATTGCTATCACTAGAGATACCTCTAAAATGTAATTGTAATAGGTATTTCAGAAAGCTAATAGATGTTAATATTAAATGCTAACAAATATTTAATGAACTAAAAAGAAGACAATAAGGGAAAACAGAGAAACAAAAATATGTTGTAAAAAGATAAATATTAAAGTGGTAGACCAAATATAACTATTATTATTATATTAAATATAAGAAGATTAATAGCTCCAATTAAATAGAAGCAATTTCCAGATTGTACAAAAGGGCAAGACCAATACAAGGAATTGTACAAGAGATGTATATTATAAAGATACAGATTAGTTTAAGGTAAATACACAGTACTTACACCTTTTACAAAAATTAACCTAAAATGGATCATAGAACTAAATGTAAAGTGCAAAATTATGAAACACTTAGAAAATAACATAAGAGAAAGTTTAGATGGCCTCAGTTTTGGTGATGTCATTTTAAGTTCAACATCATATGTACAATCTATGAAAAAAGAATTTATAAGTTGAATTTAATTAAAATTAAAACATTTTGTTCTGTGAAAAACACTGTTAAGAAAATTAAGAAACAAGGCACATACCAGCAGAAAATATTAAAAAACATATACTTAGTAATGAACTGGTATTCAAAATATGCAGAAAAACTCTTGAAATTCAACCAAGGAAACCAATCTGATTAAAAATCGTCAAAAGATCTAAACAGACACCTCACCAAAGAAGATATACTGATTTTATATATAAGTATAAAAACAAGATGCCTAAGTCACTAGGGAATTGCAATATAAATCAATGAGATACTACTACACATCTAGTAGAATGACTAAAATCAACAATATGGACATCAAAAGCTGGTGAGAATGTGAAACAACAGGAATTCTCATTCATTGTTGGTGAGAATGAAAAATAGTACAGCCATTTTAGAAGACAGTTTGGCAGTCTCTTATAGAACTAAACATGTTCTTACCACCATATAATCCAGCAATTGCAACCTCTGAAATTTCTCCAAATGAGTTGAAAATGTATGCCCACACAATAACCTGCACATGGATGTTTGTTCATAAGTCCCTAAACTTGAAAGCAATCAAGATGTCCTTCAGTAGGTGGATAGATAAACTGTGATATAGCCATATAATGGAATATTATTCAGGGCTAAAAAGAAATGAGCTATCAAGCCACAAAAACATATGGGAAATCACTTGTGATTTTGATAGGAATATGTCATTAAAGTAAATTTAAAGAGAATTAAATTTATTAAAATAGTGAAATTTCCTAGGGTAAAATAGAATGTATTTTAACTTTTAACATCCATTTTATGTTATTAAATAAAATTTTCTATTTTTATTTGCATAGGGTGTAGACAATAATTTCTAATTTTAGGCCTATATCTTTTTGTATCTTTATTCTTGATATGATTATGAACTAGGTAATTTTCCCAATATATTTTCTAAATTACGATTATTGATACATGTTAATGTTTATCTTTTATTTGTTTGTAACTGAGCACCTTACATAATTCTTATTATTTATAATGGTTTCTCAATTGATTTTTAGGTATTTCCTAAGTGGCAAATCATGCTATCAACAAATAATAATATTTTTCCTCCTTTTAGCATATTTATTGTATTTATTTTTGTTTGATTAATTCTATTGGATCAAATTTTTAAGCAATTTTATAGTAGTGAAAATAAACATCTTTGCCTTACTTATGAAATTGAAAGAATCATTTTTGTTTTATTGTTAAGTATAAGGCTGTATATTGGAGATTTTAACTTTTTATTAATCTATGTTATACAAAGGAAGGATCCTTTTATCCTTATTTCATTAAAATATGTTTATCATAAATTTATTTATTTGTTTGTTTGTTTTTCAGATGGAGTCTCGCTCTCTCGCCCTGGCTGGATGTAGTGCAGTGGCACCAACTTGGCTCACTGCAACCTCCACCTCCTGGGCTTCAAGCAATTCTCCCTGCCTCAGACTCCCAAGTAGGGATTACAGGTGCACGTCACCACGCCTCACTAATTTTGTATTCTTTAGTAGAGATGCGGTTTTGTCATGTTGGCCAGGCTAGTCTCAAACTCCTGACCTCAGGTGATCCACCTGTCTCGGCCTCCCAAAGTGCTGGGATTATAGGCATGAGACACCGTGCCCGGACCAGAAATTTATTTTAAATTCATTAAAATAGTTACTTAAACTCCAACAAGATGACATTTTTTCTTTTATCCATGAATGTGATTAATTCTCAAAATATATATTCTAATGTTAGATCATGTTGCATTTTAGATGTTTCCATTTGTTCATGTGTTTTATATTTTACATGAATGTACATTCTATCCAGTAATAATTTATGATGTTATAAGTGAATCTGCCACAGATATTTCTGTCATGCTTTGTGAGATTTTCACATCCGAGTCATACCATATTTATAAAGAAAGATCTGGAAAGCTTCTTTACATCTTTTACAAAGAGAATCATTTGCTCCTTAAGTTGAGGAAAATGAATAGAATAAGCTGTAAGATCCATAAGTCTTATTGGGGGATAATTCTATGGTATCTCTTACAGTCAGGCCATACTTCCAACTTTCATCCCTCCAAATTAAGGTATATTAGTTGAATCTGCTAGAACTTCCTATACTTCTTACTCTTAACATGCCACCATTTCTGTCAACAGGGGTTTAATGCTGGTTTCCTGACATTTTCTTCAATTCATTTCAAAGTGTAAAATACCTGGCAGGAATTATCCAGATACTTTACGATATGAAAAAGCAGTATGCCCTTGACAACATTCTTTATTTTTATTATTATTATTATTATTATTATTATTATTATTATTATTATTATTTGAGACGGAGTCTTGCTCTGTCACCCAGGCTGGAGTGCAGTGGCGTGATCTCGGCTCACTGCAAGCTCTGCCTCCCGGGACATTCTTTATTTTTAGAGTTGGTGAAATTCAGTTACCACATCACCAATTTTTGCTTAGTTCACTGTGCTTTGATTTTTGTTTTTGTTTTTTTTGTTTGTTTGCTTGTTTGTTTTTTTGAAATGGAGTCTTGCACTGTCGCCCAGGCTGGGTGCAATGGCACAATCTTGGCTCACTGCAACCTCTGCCTCCTGGGTTCAAGCGATTCTCCTGCCTCGGCCTCCCGAGGAGCTGAGATTACAGGCACCCGCCATCAACCCTGGCTAATTTTTTGTATTTTTAGCAGAGACAGGGGTTTCACTATGCTGGCCAGGCTGGTCTCGAACTCCTTACCTCGTGATCCACCCGCCTCGGCCTCCCAAAGTGTTGGGATTACAGGCGTAAGCCACCACGCCTGGCCTTGTTTTTGTTTTTTAATTTGGTTTTATAGTCTCCCATTTCTTCGATGCCAAAAATTAAGCTTTCTCTAAAACTCTACAAGTAGATCAACATAATTTGGTTTGTAGAATACTCATATGAAAATTATATTACTGGAAACAATACGCAATAAAATATTAAGGACCTCAGTCTCATTATGGTCTTTTATAATTTGAGAAATAAAGTGTCTATTATAGTGTAATGCCATTGGCATCCCTAATACAGTCAAGAGAAGGCACTTTTCAGAGTCACAAGTAAATAAATCAATGCTTATAAATAGACAAACTGTTTACAATGAGATCTGTGTACTTCACATAAAAAGAAACAATAAAGGAAGATAAAAACTGATAGACACTATTTAGATCATTTTATCTTCTTACAAGTTTTAAAGAAGTAGGTGGAAGCAATCTATCTTTCTCTCAGAGATACCCATAATTCATAATTTTGTATCACCAAAAACTGGAAGAAAGGTAATACAGTTTCTATTCAGCATTTCAATTATTTCATCATAAAAGGAAGTCACATTTTTTGTGTCAAAAGCAATGGGATTCATTTCCAATTTCTCACCTACTTTCCAGATATCTCCATGTTCCTGTATCTGTTGATAGAGGAAAAGACAGTCTCCAAATCTCCTGGGAATAATTTTGAGCCATCATAATATTCTTTTTAGAGGGGATGCATAAAGTAGACATTAAAAATCAAGAACCCAGATCATATCAGTGAGAAGAAATCTGCAATTCGTTAAATATGTGCAATTCTACGTCAATCCTTGAGCAGAGGCCTGAATCCCCATACATAGAAAGAACATATAGGAGTAATAAGTGAGGGAGGGTAAGTTACTACAAGTCATGCTGACACACAAAAATACTTTCAGCGAGCATGAGGCATAAATGTGTTGGTGAGAAACAGTTGCAGGAACTGAGTTTTTACTATGCATAGAAAATCTTATCTTCTGTGTTTCAAAAGCCCAAAAGTCCAGTGGAAATAGTAGCATTCTTTTCTAGAGTATTCCAAAGGAGACCTTCAATTGTACCCAACATACCCAATTATTGGTTATTGGGAGCTTTACTAAGTTGTTCATTAGATTTGATTGTGTTATTCAGTAGGTCTCCCTTACAATAAATTTTAAGTGATGAAAGTCAGTACCAGTAAGGAAGATTACCAACAGCCAAAGGATCAGTAGACAACATTCTGAAATCCAGCCCAGTGACAAGTAAGAACTCTTAAGGGCAAAAGGAAACTGTGGATAATATATGCTGCTTCAGACGATAGCTAGGACTCTGAAAAATATATGAAATTAAAAATAAATAATACCATACAGTATTATTAAGGAGTCAGAGTTGATGCTGGTGGTAATTGTCTTCAAAGTGAATCATAGTGTTCTTGAAAAAAGTCAAGCCTTATTTTTCAGCTACTAGAAATGAAAATTTGAAATTTACAAATTATTTTCATTTGACTTACCGGGTGATTTCCACATGCTGGAAATATCAAGAAATATTTGGCCGGCTGCGGTGGCTCACACCTGTAATCCCAGCACTTTGGGAGGCTGAGGTGGGTGGATCACTGGAGGTCAGGAGTCCGAGACCTGGCAAACATGGTGAAACCCTGTCTCTACTAAAAATACAAAAATTAGCTGGGTGTGGGGGTGCACGTCTGTAATCCCAGCTACTTGGGAGGCTGAGGCAGGAGAATCACTTGAACCTGGGAGGTTGAGGTTGCAGTGAGCCGAGATTGCGCCACTACTGCACTCCAGCCTGGGTGACAGAGCGAGACTTCATCTCAAAAAATAAAAAATTAAAAAAATTAAAAAATATATTTAAATAAACTGTCTGTGATGGCCATTATTTCTTGAATTCTATCTTATTCCACTTATTCCACATTACTAAAAGATCCCTGAATTTCTGACTGAAGTTTAAAGAGAAACATCACAACTAGATATCAGAGTCCAAGGAAGAGACACAAAGACCTCAGTGGTACTGACAGGCAATAGCAAAGTCATTCAAAAGACAAAGATTTTGGCTGGGTGCGGTGGCTCACGCCTGTAATCCCAGCACTTTGGGAGGCCGAGGCCAAGGCGGGCAGATAATGAGGTCAGGAGATCGAGACCATCCTGGCTAATATGGTGAAACCCGCCTGTACAAAAAATACAAAAAATTAGCCGGGCGTGGTGGCAGATGCCTGTAATCTCAGCTACTCGGGAGGCTGAGGCAGGGGAATTGCTTGAACCTGGGAGATGGAGGTTGCAGTGAGCCGAGATGCCGCCATTGTGCCACTGCACTCCAGCCTGGGCAACAGAGCGAGACTCCATATCAAAAAAAAAAAAAAAGACAAAGATTTTAAGGCCATAGAGAAGAAAAATTTAAGCAGCAAGGCATCAAAAGCAAAAGTCTAGTTCAAAATTATTATTAATATCTGCTTTGAACATGGAAGAATGGAAGAGGGGAGTCAAAGTACAGTAGTTACACTCTTTTATTGAGGTTAGTAGCTAATCAACAATTTGTTCCTGATATATCTAGATGAGCCAGTGAGACAATTATAAGTAATAACGGGAAGAACAATACCAGAGTAAAATCAAATAGGAAGAAAGTGGTAGGCGTATTTACACTAATAGAAATAGAGTTCGTCAGTTAGTGGAAACTGGTGACAACAGCAGAGAAAACTCTGGAGAGCTATAAACTGCGTGAAATCAAGTGCATTGGAAGTTACAGAAAATACGCAAGAACAATGGGAAAAGAACTCCAGGAAGTGTAGGGGAGGGGCAGCGTGGAGAAGAAAGGATGTGACGTCACTGAGATAACCAGCTCGGCTGTTAGCAACTCTGTTAGCAACGCTGTTTGTCTTTCTCGGAAACAACAGGTGAGAATTCCCCTTACAGACCTGCCCATGCTTTCTAAAGTGGCTCTCCCAAACCTACCTTTGTCCTAACTCAGTTGTCTGTGATTCTCAATATAGTAACGATAAGCCTCTTGGAATATGGAGGCCGCTGCGGACGGCCCGGCTGAGACCCAAAGCCCGGTGGAAAAAGACAGCCCGGCGAAGACCCAAAGCCCAGCCCAAGACACCTCAATCATGTCGAGAAATAACGCAGATACAGGCAGAGTTCTTGCCTTACCAGAGCACAAGAAGAAGCGCAAGGGAAACTTGCCAGCCGAGTCCGTTAAGATCCTCCGCGACTGGATGTATAAGCATCGGTTTAAGGCCTACCCTTCAGAAGAAGAGAAGCAAATGCTGTCAGAGAAGACCAATTTGTCTTTGTTGCAGATTTCTAACTGGTTTATCAATGCTCGCAGACGCATTCTCCCGGATATGCTTCAACAGCGTAGAAACGACCCCATCATTGGCCACAAAACGGGCAAAGATGCCCATGCCACCCACCTGCAGAGCACCGAGGCGTCTGTGCCGGCCAAGTCAGGGCCCAGTGGTCCAGACAATGTACAAAGCCTGCCCCTGTGGCCCTTGCCAAAGGGCCAGATGTCAAGAGAGAAGCAACCAGATCCGGAGTCGGCCCCTAGCCAGAAGCTCACCGGAATAGCCCAGCCGAAGAAAAAGGTCAAGGTTTCTGTCACATCCCCGTCTTCTCCAGAACTTGTGTCTCCAGAGGAGCACGCCGACTTCAGCAGCTTCCTGCTGCTAGTCGATGCAGCAGTACAAAGGGCTGCCGAGCTGGAGCTAGAGAAGAAGCAAGAGCCTAATCCATGATTGATGATGTTCCAAAAACCCAAGTAGTCAGTCCCTTATGTACTGTGGTAAACCTGTTTATGTTCACCCCAACTTATTTGTATGCTTATCTTTTATAGAGGCATCTTTCTTTCTAGTGGTTTTATGAGAACCAATCTTAATTATTGGGACTAAATTCTGTCAGATATTTCAGTGTTTCCAGGTGAAAGACACTAAGGTGCCATCATAATGAACACTGCAGCAAAGATTTCTTAACTCTCCTTCCCCCTGGATTTGAACTCTTTAGACCATCAGACTAATACATCTGAGATTAAACATCAAGCTGAGATTTCAGAGATAAATGTTTTTGGCTTTCTAGCCAACTTTCTTAGTCCCAGGGTTGCTACATATAATAAGTCACCCCTCTTTCTCCCTCTCTCTCGGTAATCTTCTCTGTTCATTAGTATGAGTGATAGAAAAGAAAGCCTCTATAAAAATGGCTATAACATCCCTCATTTTATTGTTGGAGTTTTGTGAAGCTTTCAATTCTTATATTCCTTTTTGTACAGTTTATTGGCCAATTTTGAAGAAGTAGTTATTCTTTGCAGGGAGTTGACCATGAGAGCCAAAGTACAGTAAATTCATGAACATTTTTTTGCATAAAGGTGAACTCTTCTTGCTCTGAGCAGTGAAAAGTCTGCATAAAGGTAAGAAAATTCCAAATGTTAATTTTCTCTTATTGGCTGTTGGTTAGATAGTTGGTTTTAGAGAATACTTTTTATTGATTTTAATTATAAAAGTAAAAACATAACAAAAAATAGAAAAAAACTGACAAAAAAATTCCCTGGAAGAAACCAAAGGAAGATAATTTAAAAAGAAAGAAAATGAATCAATATATAACATGTCAGCAAAAAGTGAAGTAGATCCAGGTATTCTATTATTTTATCTTTTTAATACATTTATGTATTTTTCCTTTTAAATTTCTTGGTTTGGTAGGGAGTGGGGTAGGAATGTAAAAAGCTTCAGACCGGTCCCGCATGAAAATAATCCTATTGTCTTAAAAAGGCAGCTTTTTCACAAGTACAGGCAGATTTTCACTAGGATACGAACAGAAAGATACTACCCCAGAGAGCTGTAATTTTACTTCTCTGCTTTTAGGGAGCTAAAACCTGAGGAATCTAGGGCTATAAATTGGACTCTAGCCTGATTCTGATTCTGCTCTAGTGTGAAATAGATCATGATTTGTCTGCTTCTAGGGCCATTTTTTATATTGTTATCTAATTACTGGCAATTTTAAATATAAGATGCCGTATCTTATTTAGGCATCTTAACAAACAATAGTCATGGGTTATTACTTTGCATATTATAAGTTTCCATGTTACCAGAAAGGAAACAGGCCCACATTCCCAAACTGTTGTTTCTGAAATAAACTAAAATAGGAAGGAGTTGAGGTTCCTAAGGCATACATGAATCCAGGGGCATTTAGAAGGAAGTGGTATAAAAACATTCATCGTAACCTTACTGAGGAGGGCCCGTAAACACTCAAGGAAACGCCCAAACCATTTTGTTTATAGTGCCTGGCAAAAAGCATTTTCTGCATATGGATACATAGAAGGCTCTTATTCAAGGAAAGGACGTTTGCTATCTGGGTGGCAAGATTTCTAGACTCAGCCTAGAGTATTTCTATACACTCATTTCTGGACCCTTACTACTTTGTCCTGTAGCTTTCTAACTGGTCTTAGGTCTCAGGCTTTTCTCTTTCTCAGTTGAAAATGAAGTTAATTGCAACTTTAGTGCTGAAGTCTGAAAAAGGAAGTTTCTTATTGTCTAGCCTCTTATAGACAATATAAGAGGCTTGTTTCCTCTTGTTTCTAGAGGCTGAGGCCACTTGGACTGTTCCCTGTAGAATGACTATTGTAGTACTTGTTTATTAATAACTTTATTATTATTGTAAAATGACTGTGGAATCATTGTAAAATCAGTGCTGCTGTAGAACTTACTCAAAGGTGAATATGTTGGGATTACAGTGGTATTTGTCCATTTCTGTTGTGCACTTTGTAATGGTGAATTGTGGTCTACAATTGTGTTCTAGCTTTAACTCTATTATATCGAAAGAAATTGGGGAGAACTGTTCTCGGTTTTGTGCTACAAACATGGAGAAGAAGCAGTTGTTTAGTTAAATTAAGAACTATATACAATAGAATTTTTATTGTTGAAATTTTTGCCAAATAAATGTACTTTTTTTCGTATAAAAGGATGACCAACTGTGTTTTTGATTCCACCAGGCTTTAACCACTTTGAAGTTGTAGCTTCTTTATGCATGTTTTTTTCTATAAGAGTGAAATTTAGGAAGCTATAATCTACTTCACTTTGTGGAGAGAAAAGGGGATAATTTTCTAAAGAAACTAAGTTTGGAAAACATAACCACCAATTCCATGTTATTTGAGTTTGAGAACTATGTAAAACCTGATAAAGAGTTTCTGAAACAATGGTCTTATGGAAGTGAAAAGGTGAAGATAGCATTGAGAATATCTTGGTTAGGATTTTTTCTTTTTCCTTTTTTTTTTTTCTCCCAAAGTATTGGGAGTCATTTATATTTCCAGAAGTGTACAAGAATTTCTATTCCTCTACACTTTTACCAATACATAATATCAATTTTCAATTTTTCTCAAGCCAATAGGTATAAAACAGCCTAGCATTATTCATTTGCCTTTGTCTGATTAATAGCAAAATTGAACACCTTTACATATTTTTCTTTTGCCACTCATTTTTTCCTCTTCTGTTGAAATCAATTGCTTAATTTTTCCTTTCTGCTTTGCCTTACTTATCCAGTGGCAGTTCTTCATAAATTCTATTACAATTATTTTGCTATATGAATTGCTAAATTCTTCCAATTTGTGCATGTCTTTTTAGTTTATTGATGGTGTCTTTTGTCATACAAAATTTCAAATGTTATTATATGCAAATTTGTTAGTTTTCCTTTATGAGTTGTGCTCTTTGTGCCTTGTTTAAGAAATCTGTCATTGCCTAGGTATAATGAAGATATTTTCCTGTGTTTTCTTCTGTAAGTTTCTTTTTAAATTTTGCTTTAAGTTCTTGGACACATGTGCAGAATATGCAGGTTTGTTATATAGGTATACATTGCAGAATGTGCAGGTTTGTTACACAGGTATACATGTGCCATGGTGGTTTGCTGCACCCATCAACCCATCATCTAGGTTTTAAGCCCCACGTGCATTAGATATTGGTCTTGTCCCCGACCCCCTGACAGTCCCCAGTGTGTGATGTTCCCCTGCATGTGTCCCTGTGTTGTCATTGTTCAACTCCCACTTATGAGTGAAAACATGCGGTGTTTGGTTTTTTTCTTAAGAAAGATACATTTTTATTAATCTATTTGGAATGACGGAAATATACAGTCAAAAGATGTAGGATTGTGTCCGGAATTGGTGGGTTCTTGGTCTCACTGACCTCAAGAATGAAGCCGTGGACCCTCGTGGTGAGTGTTACAGCTCTTAAGGTGGCGCGTCTGGAGTTTGTTCCTCCTGATGTTCGGATGTGTTCGGAATTTCTTCCTTCTGGTGGGTTCGTGGTCTTGCCGCCTCAGGAGTGAAACTGCAGACCTTTGCGGTGTTACGGCTCATAAAGGCAGGAGAACCTTTATGTCTAGCTCAGGGATTGTAAATACACCAATCAGCACCCTGTGTCTAGCTCAGGGTTTGTGAATGCACCAATCGACACTGTATCTAGCTACTCTGGTGGGGACTTGGAGCACCTTTGTGTGGACACTCGGTATCTAGCTGATCTGGTGGGGATGTGGAGAACCTTTGCGTCTAGCTCTGGGATTGTAAACGCACCAATCAGCGCCCTGTCAAAACAGACCACTCAGCTCTACCAATCAGCAGGAGGTGGGTGGGGCCAGATAAGAGAATAAAAGCAGGCTGGCGGAGCCAGCAGTGGCAACCTGCTCGGGTCCCCTTCCACACTGTGGAAGCTTTGTTCTTTCGCTCTTTGCAATAAATCCTGCTGCCCGGGGTGGGCAGGGCCGGCCGGCTGCTCCGAGTGCGGGGCCTGCCAAGCCCACGCCCACCCGGAACTCCAGCTGGCCCGCAAGCTCCGTGCGCAGCCCCGGTTCCCGCTCGCACCTCTCCCTCCACATCTCCCTGCAAGCTGAGGGAGCCGGCTCTGGCCTTGGCCAGCCCAGAAAGGGTCTCCCACAGTGCAGTGGCAGGCTGAAGGGCTCCTCAAGTGCTGCCAAAGTGGGAGCCCAGGCAGAGGAGGCGCTGAGAGCGAGCGAGGGCCGTGAGGACTGCCAGCACGCTGTCACCTCTCAGGATGAATAGGAAGTCCATAGGGTGGCTCTAATAAGGAATAAGGCATAACTGGTTATGAATAAAGTTGTTCTTTTCAGTGATCCCTCCACCCAGCCCCTCACTCTGTCTCTCTTGATTGATGTGAAAGTGAGATTCATCAGTGTGTACTTCAAGAATTTCATATTAAAGATATTCTTAGAATGGGATTTCATTTCAATGATTCTTAATCCTCTGGCATAAGAGCACATTTATAAACAATGTAGTCATAAGGGATATCTTCACTCGTGTTCTTTCATATATCTCAAACTATACTAGATATATAATACCAGGGATTTTACTTTAGCTTATTTATTAGAACAAGAATGCCTTTTACATGTATTATAACATGCTTTAATGTATACAGTGTATCTCAATGAAGGGAAAACATTGGAGTGGAATTTTCCTGGATATTTTATTAAATGAACACTAAGGCAAATAATATATTTAATCTATCTATAGTCTCCTCAGCTAGCAGGGGCATACTTTGTGTGCCATGATTTAGTCACTTCAGTAAGTTTACATTCGGTCACTGAAAACATTAGTTTTCGATTTTCAAATAATCTCAACTCTTACATTTGACCAAATTTAGTTCTATTTCTATTTCACCTAATATATTTCAAGGACCTAGGCACTTGTATTATAATTATTTTTTTTAAGAAATGGCACTTTGTGTATATGTGTTTACTGTTAAAAATCTGCCATTTACCTTTTGGCTTTTTTAGTTCATCGTGGTAAAATGAGGACAGTAAGAGTAAGATAATGTGGATTTACTAGAAAGATGTCATATCTTTTGCAACAGGTAGAAGGTAACTGAAAGTAGATCAAAGAATGTGGTTTGTCACATGAGAACGCATACAATTATAATTGATTATTTAAGGAGTTATGGATGGTTACTTTGTGTTTTTAGAACCTCATGATATAGAATAGACTGAAACGTAATTCAAAAGGACTTCAAAAAATTATAGATAACAAAGCCAAGATCAATTTTAAAGGAAAAGTAAAATTCACTGGCCGAAACCATTAAGGAAGAAATCTATGAGGTCAAACAGGGTCTTTCCTGATATAGTTTTGCTGTCATTTGTACAGGCCGAATAACAGGTTGGATAGTCCAAAAGTCTAATCTGGAATGGTACTTAATGCTTTCTATAAGATGCAAATTGGAAATGTGATAAATATGATTTAGAACATAACTGTATTTAAACCTATTTTGAGCTCATTTTCACTTTCAATAATGTTTTAACCTTATTTTAGCAATTTTCGTTACTTCAATGATACTAGCAGTATTTGGACTTTTAAGTTTGCATTTCTTTATATAAAACAGACAATAACAATGGGTGACCAGCATTTTTCTACTAGATATTCTATATGTTGCAACCTGTAATTCCTTGTTATACCAATGTATAGTAAATGATTGCTTTTTATAGGATAATTATTCATGTTATAGAGCAGGGAGTTCTCAAATATTAAAATCCTGAACAGAGATTAATTTCTTGGCTTATTATATAATATAATGAAAAATGTTATAATTTATAATTTATTTTTACTTTTACTATCTTTTCAGAAATGCTATTTTTTTCCTTATTATCCTAAAGACAGCCTAAAGTATCTTAAAGTTCTTTCTTTAGCTTTTGAGGATATAATTTAGAAAAAGTTTAATAAGAAAGTATTGAAATCAATGATAATTTTGTAAAAGGTATAAAAAGGGGCTCTTTTTGCATGCTACTGTAAATTTAATATAAAGCACTTATATGAACATTAATTTTTACCTCTACATCATAATATAAACTTTTACTGTTTTACTCTTAATTAAAGATATCCTCAGTTTTCTGATTTTTCCCCAGATAATCATTAAGTTTTATACAATACGCTTATGAAAACTTTAAAGAATTAAGAATCTAAAATTATGGTAACAAGCAAAATGTTGTATTGAATTAGAATAACATGCACGACTATGAAGTAATTAAACTTTTAATAGAAATATGTGAGGTAATGTTAGAAATTATTTTACATCCTCCTTTTTGCCAACCATGTTAAGTAGTCTACTAAACAAAAGAGCAGTAATGGGTTTGAATCGTAACAGGAGTGTGTGTGCATGCATGCCTGTGTATGTGCTTGTGTGTGTGTATTAGAGACAGAAAATCCAATCATCCAACAAGAAAAGCTTTACTTCCAAGTCAATGTAGTGTGTTAGCAGAATCTTCACTATGAAAGGAGAATCACAGTTGATAAGGTGACCATGATATTTTTACACACTATGGGTATTTCATAAAGATCTCAGAGAATAATTTGATCTTTAATAAACAAAATAATAATTCAAGAGACTCTAAAAGCAGCTGTTATGAACGTGCATGAATATTACAATATAATACCAAAGTTATTTTTCCCGAATAAGTATTTTATGATTTTGAAAGTACCTGAAAAAATCAGGATTTTATTTGGTCAGGTGACCAACTTCCAGGATAAAAGAAACTAAGGAAGCTAACTTAAGGTGTTAATTATAACTTAGAATAATTATGAAGACATTCAATAAACCACTATATAAGATAATTATGGAAAATTGTATAGCTTTCCAAGAAAATTCCTATAAATTTTAATTGTTTATAAATAAATGCCTATGATAAGTCTTGCCTATACTTCTGACTTAATTATAATAATCTCTAGAGTCAGATATGATTCATCTTTCCCTGACATTCCAACATTTTTGTAAGTGGAATTCATGATTGTGCAGCTAATAAAATAGACAGTTTATAAAACTTAGCTGCTTTCAATTAAGAAAGCTAAGACTCTTCCCCCCACAGTCCATCAAAGATAATACTATTTCACTTTTTTCTTAGTTATTTGAGATGGCAATCAAAAATGATATTTTTGGCATGAAATGAACATATCATGATCCTTCAGTTATAATAACAGATTCATTGTTAGAGTTAGCTTTTGTGAAATCTACCCTGTGTGTTTGAATGTGGAACATCTGCAACATTGAATATATCACCTCTCACAGCAGTTCCTCAGACAGGAAATTATATCCCTCAGTGGGATGGTACAAAGGTAATTCTGTTGCCGTATATTGTGCCAAAGAGCTCCTTCTGTGACAGGTTAGATTATCAGTGATATGTGTCTGTCATGCCCATTTTCTTCTTTGTCTGAAGCAATCTCATACCGACAAAGTTTGTGGTATTCCAAGATAAAGCTTTGCCAAAGCTAGAAATTCCAACATACATAAATACTATTTCAAGTTAGAGGAGGGTCCCATTGCAATCCTTAGAAAAACCCAGATTTTACACGTGTACCCTAATCATTATAGCCAGCTTATGCTGGGATTTAGAATGAAACATATTTTTAAGCCTAAATTCTCAAAAGAAAGAAACATTTTTAAAGTATATTAGGCAACAGATGTATTGGGAATTTATTCTTTTTTACTTGCATTTTAAAACTCTCTATATATTTTAAATTATACTTATTTTGCTGTGAACTAATTGTTGGAGAACAGTAATAACCAAATAACGTTTTCATTGACATCAACCACTGGAGATGTGCTTAAAAATAATAATGCCACTGAAGCATACGACAGAAGCCCTTTTCATGCCTTATTGCTTTAGTTGGTTAAATTAACGAATGTAATAATAGAAACTTCCATATATTCTGGAGGAAGCCAACATATCAAACATTCATCATAGGAATGAGAAGTAGTGAGAAAGGGCATCTCTAAATGCATCCAAATGAATAAAAAACATTTTTGAATGGCAATTTCAGTTCACAAAAATTAGTTTCTGAACCCTGCCAAGCAACTAAGTTCTAGACCTGTCTCCTTGCCAACTGTAGTAACCCAAAGTTTCACAAGGTCTTCAGAGAAATTATTGACCTGAATTCTTAAGAGTACGAGAAATGAATAGGATTTAACTTATAACTTTTGGGGTATTTTAAAATGACATTGTTTCTGCCTAATAACTAACCACTTGCATATTATTAATATACCAGCACCATCAGCATGGTATTTTTATGTTGCTGAAGGATTTTCCAACCTTGGTACTAGCTAAACTGAACAATACTACTGTTCAATGTAACAATTATTTCTAATTATGTAATAAACAATAACAACAAAAAACTTGGACATAATGTTTCTCCCTTATGTCACTAATCCAAAAATGAAAATAAATAAAATAAATAGAGAGCATAGGGATCTTGTTATAGTTATTGTAACATAGTCTTTTTATTGTATATATCAAAACAAGATGTTATAATAAAACTGTGTTTCTGATATCGGATCATTGAAAATTTTGACATGTATGAACTTCTCCAATCAAAAAGCAATTTTAATATATACCCAGTTGAATAATATAATCAATTCAATCTAATGCAATTTGTATATATTTATTGTATACTCCAATTTTTTTATTATACTTTAAGTTGTGGGTTACATGTGCAGAACATGCAGTTTTGTTACATAGGTATACACGTGCCCTGGTGGTTTGCTGCACCCATCAACCCGTCACCTACATTAGGTATTTCTCCTAATGTTATCCTTCCCCTAACCCCCCACCCCGCAACAGGCCCCAGTTTGTGATGTTCCCCTCCCTGTGTCCATGTGTTCTCATTGTCCAACTTCCAATTATGAGTGAGAACAGGTGGTGTTTGGTTTTCTGATCTTGTGATAGTTTGCTGAGAATGATGGTTTCCAGCTTCATCCATGTCCCTGCAAAGGACATGAACTCATCCTTTTTTATGGCTGCATAGTATTCCATGGTGTATATGTGCCACATTTTCTTAATCCAGTCTATCATTGATGGACAGTTGGGTTGGTTCCAAGTCTTTGCTATTGTGAATAGTGCCGCAATAAACATATGTGTGCATGTGTCTTTATCATAGAATGATTTATAATCCTTTGGGTATATGCCCAGTAATGGAATTGCTGGGTCAAATGGTATTTCCAGTTCTAGATCCTTGAGGAATCACTACACTGTCTCCCACAATGGTTGAACTAATTTACACTCCCACCAACAGTGTAAAAGTGCTCCTATTTTTTCACAACCTCTCCAGCATCTGTTGTTTCCTGAATTTTTAATGATCCCCATTCTAACTGGTGTGAGATGGTATCCTATTGTGGTTTTGATTTGCACTTCTCTAATGATCAGTGATGATGAGCATTTTTTCATATGTCTGTTGGCTGCATAAGTGTCTTCTTTTGAGAAGTGTCTGTTCATATCCTTCACCCGCTTTTTGATGGGGTTGTTTTTTTCTTGTAATTTTATTTACGTTCTTTGTAGATTCTGGATATTAGCCCTTTGTCAGATGGATAGATTGCAAAAATTTTCTCCCATTCTGTAGGTTGCCTGTTCACTCTGATGATAGTTTCTTTTGCTGTGCAGAAGCTCTTTAGTTTAATTAGATGCCATTTGTCTATTCTGGCTTTCGTTGCCAATGCTTTTGGTGTTTCAGACATGAAGTCTTTGCCCGTGCCTGTGTCCTGAATGGTATTGTCCAGGTTTTGTTCTAGGATTTTTATGGTCCTAGGTCTTACGTTTAAGTCTTTGATCTATCTTGAGTTGATTTTTATAAAAGGTGTAAGGAAGGGGTCCAGTTTTAGTTTTTTGCATATGGCTAGGCAGTTTTCCCAACACCATTTATTAAATAGGGAATCTTTTCCCCATTGCTTGTGTGTGTCAGGTTTGTCAAAGATCAGACGGTTGTAGCTATGTGGTGTTATTTCTGAGGCCTCTGTTCTGTTCCATTGGTCTATATATCTGTTTTGGTACCAGTAACCTGCTGCTATGGTTACTGTAGCCTTGTAGTATAGTTTGAAGTCAGGTAGCGTGATGCCTCCAGCTTTGTTCTTCTTGCCCAGATTGTCTTGGCTGTGCGGGCCCTTTTTTGGTTCCATATGAAGTTTAAAGTAGTTTTTTCCAATTCTGTGAAGAAAGTCATTGGTAGCTTGATGGGGATGGCATTGAATCTATAAATTACCTTGGGCAGTATGGCCGTTTTCACGATATTGATTCTTCCTACCCATGAGCATGGAATGTTCTTCCATTTGTTTGTATCCTCTTTTATTTCATTGAGCAGTGGTTTGTAGTTCTCCTTGAAGAGGTCCTTCACATCCCTTGTAAGTTGGATTCCTAAGTATTTTATTCTCTTTGAAGCAATTGTGAATGGGAGTTCACTCATGATTTGGCTCTCTGTTTGTCTGTTATTGGTGTATAAGAATGCTTGTGATTTTTGTACATTGATTTTGTATCCTGAGACTTTGCCGAAGTTGCTTATCAGCTTAAGGAGGTTTTGGGCCGACGATGGGATTTTCTAAATATACAATCATGTTATCTGCAAACAGAGGCTATTTGACTTCCTCTCTTCCTATCTGAATACGCTTTATTTCTTTCTCTTGCCTGATTGCCCTGGCCAGAACTTCCAATACAATGTTGAATAGGAGTGGTGAGAGAGGGCATCCTTGTCTTGTGCCAGTTTTCAAAGGGAATGCTTCCAGTTTTTGCCCATTCAGTATGATATTGGCTGTGGGTTTGTCATAAATAGCTCTTATTATTTTGAGATACGTTCCATCAATACCTAGTTTATTGAGGGTTTTTAGCATGAAGGGGTGTTGAATTTTATTGAAGGCCTTTTCTGCATCTATTGAGATAATCATGTTTTTTGTCATTGGTTCTGTTTATGTGATGGATTACGTTTATTGATTTGCATATGTTGAACCAGCCTTGCTTCCCAGGGATGAAGCCAACTTGATTGTGGTAGATAAGCTTTTTGATGTGCTGCTGGATTCAGTTTGCCAGTATTCTTTTTTTTTTTTTGAGACGGGGTCTCGCTCTGTCACCCAGGCTCAAGTGCAGTCACGTGATCTTGGCTCACTGCAAGCTCCGCCTTCTGGGTTCACGCCATTCTCCTGCCTCAGCCTCCCGAGTAGCTGGGACTACAGGCATCCATCACCACACCCAGCTAATTTTTTTTTTTTTTGTATTTTTAGTAGAGACAGGGTTTCACCATGTTAGCCAGGATGTTCTCAATCTCCTGACATTGTGATTCGCCCGCCTCAGCCTCCCAAAGTGCTGGGATTACAGGCGTGAGCCACCACACCTGGCCTGCCAGTATTCTTTTGACAATTTTCACATCGATGTTCATCAGGGATATTGGCCTGAAATTTTCTTTTTTTGTTGTGTCTCTGCCAGGTTTTGGTATCAGGACAATGCTGGCCTCATAAAATGAGTTAGGGAGGATTCCCTCTTTTTCTATTGTTTGGAATAGTTTCAGAAGGAATGGTACCAGCTCCTCCTTGTACCTCTGGTAGAATTCGGCTGTGAATCCATCTGGTCCTGGACTCTTTTTGGTTGGTAGGCTATTAATTACTGCCTCAATTTCAGAACTTGTTATTGGTCTACTCAGGGATTCGACTTCTTCCTGGCTTAGACTTGGGAGGGTGTATGTGTCCAGGAATTTATCCGTTTCTTCTAGATTTTCTAGTTTATTTGTGTAGAGGTGTTTACAGTATTCTCTGATGGGAATACCCACATATTTCTGTGAGATCAGTGGTGATATCCCTTATATCATTTTTTATTGCATCTATTTGATTCTTCTCTCTTTTCTCCTTTATTAGTCTGGCTAGCAGTCTATCTATTTTGTTGATTTTTTTCAAAAAGCAGCTCCTGGATTCATTGATTTTTTGAAGGGTTATTTGTGTCTCTAACTCCTTCAGTTCTGCTCTGATCTTAGTTGTTTCATGTCTTCTGCTAGCTTTTGAATTTGTTTGCTGTTGCTTCTCTAGTTCTTTTAATTTTGATGTTAGGATGTCAATTTTAGATCTTTCCTCCTTTCTGTTGTGGGCATTTAGTGCTATAAATTTTCCTCTAAACACTGCTTTAAATGTGTCCCAGAGATTCTGGTACGTTGTGTCTTCGTTCTCATTGGTTTTGAAGAACTTATTTATTTCTGCCTTAATTTTGTTATTTACACAGTAGTCATTCAGGAGCAGGTTGTTCATTTTCCATGTATTTGTGTGGTTTTGAATGAGTTTCTTAATCCTGAGTTCTAATTTGATTGCACTGTGGTCTGAGAGACTGTTTGTTATGATTTCCATTCTTTTGCATTTGCTGAGGAGTGTTTTACTTCCAATTATGTGGTCCTTTTTAGAATAAGTGCAATGAGGTGCTGAAGAGAATGTATATTCTGTTGATTTGGGGTGGAGAGTTCTGTAGAGGTCTATTGGTTCCACTTGGTCTAGAGCTAAGTTCAAGTCCTGAACATCGTTGTTAATTTTCTGTCTTGTTGATCTGTCCAATATTGACAGTGGGGTGTTAAAGTCTCCCACTGTTATTGTGTGAGAGTCTAAGTCTCTTTGTAGGTCTCTAAGAACTTGCTTTATGAATCTGGGTCCTCCTGTATTGGGTGCATATATATTTAGGATAGTTAGCTCTTCTTGCTGCATTGTTCCCTTTACTATTATGTAATGCCCTTCTTTGTCTCTTTTGATCTTTTTTTCATTTAAAGTCTGTTTTATCAGAGATTAGGTTCGCAACTCCTGCTTTTTTTTTTTGCTTTCCATTTGCTTGGTAAATATTCCTCCATCCCTTTATTTTGAGCCTATGTGTGTCTTTGCACGTGAGATGGGTCTCCTGAAGACAGCACACTGATGGGTCTTGACTCTTTATCCAATTTGCCAGTCTGGTCTGTGCCTTTTAATTGGGGCATTTAGCCCATTTACATTTAAGGTTAATATTATTATGTGTAAATTTGATCCTGTCATTATGATGCTAGCTGGTTGTTTTGACCATTAGTTAATGCAGTTTCTTCATAGTGTCAATGTTCTTTACAATTTGGTATGTTTTTGCAGTGGCTGGTACCAGTTGTTCCTTTCCATGTTTAGTGCTTCTTTCAGGAGCTCTTGTAAGGCAGTTCTAGTGGTTGCAAAATCCCTCAGCATTTGCTTGTCTGTAAAGGATTTTATTTCTCCTTTGCTTATGAAGCTTACTTTGCCTGTATATGAAATTCTGGTTTGAAAATTATTTTCTTTAAGAATGTTGAATATTGGCCCCCACGCTCTTCCGGCTTGTAGGGTTTCTGCAGAGAGATCTGCTGTTAGTGTGATGGACTTCCCTTTGTGGGTAACCAGACCTTTCTCTCTGGCTGCCCTTAACATTTTCTCCTTCATTTCAACCTTGGTGAATCTGACGATTATGTGCTTTGGGTTGCTTTCTCAAGGATTATCTTTGTGGTATTCTCTGTATTTCCTGAATTTGAATGTTGTCCTGTTTTGCTAGGTTGGGGAAGTTCTCCCGGATAATACCCTGAAGAGTGTTTTCCAACTTGGTTCCATTCTCCCTGTCACTTTCAGGTACACCAATCAAACGTAGGTTTGTTCTTTTCACATAGTCCCATATTTCTTGGAGGTTTTGTTCATTCCTTTTTATTCTTTTTTCTCTAATCTTGTCTTCATACTTTATTTCATTAAGTTGACCTTCAATCACTGATATCCTTTCTTCTGCTTGATTGACTCGGCTGTTGATACTTGTGTATTCTTCACAAAGTTTTTGTGCTGTATTTTTCAGCTGCATCAGGTCATTTATGTTCTTCTCTACATTGGTTATTCTACTTAGCAATTTGACTAACCTTTTTCAAGATTCTTAGCTTCCTTGCATTGGGATAGAACATGCTCCTTTAGCTCGGAGTTGTTTGTTATTACCCACCTTCTGAAGCCTACTTCTGTCAGTTCATCAAACTCATTCTCTGTCCAGTTTTGTTCCCTTGCTGGAGATGAGTTGTGATCCTTTGGAGGAGGAGAGGCATTCTGGTTTTTGGAATTTTCAGCCTTTTTGCACTGGCTTTTCCCCATCTTTGTGGATTTATCTACCTTTGGTCTTTGATGTTGGTGACCTTTGGATGGGGTCTTTGAGTGGACGTGCTAATCCTTTCTGTTTGTTTCTTTTCCTTCTAACATTCAGGCCCCTCTGCTGCCAGTCTGCTGGAGTTTGCTGGAGGTCCACTCCCAACCCTGTTTGCCTGGGTATCACCAGTGGAGGCTGCAGAGCAGCAAAGATTGCTACCTGTTCTTTCCTCTGGAAGTTTCGACCCAGTGGGGCACCTGCCAGATGCCAACCAGAGCCCTCCTGTATGAGGTATCTGTCGGCCCCAACTGGGAGGTGTCTCCCAGTCAGTATACACAGGGGTCAGGGACCCACGTGAGGAGACAGACTGACCCTCAGCAGAGCTCGAACGCTCTGCTGGGAGGTCTGCTGCTCTCTTCAGAGCCATCAGGCAGGGACGTTTAAGTCTGCCATAAGCCCCTGACTGGGGCTGCTGCCTTTTTTACAGAGATGTCCTGTCCATAGAGGAGCAATCTGACAGTCTAGCCACAGCATCCTTGCTGAGCTGCAGTGGGCTCTGCCCAGTTTGAACTTCCCGGCAGCTTTGTTTACACTGTGGCCCTAAAACTGCCTACTCAAGCCTCAGCAATGGCAGACGCCCCTTCCCCCACCAAGCTCGACCATCCCATGTGGATCTCAGATTGCTGCTGTGCTGGCAGCCAGAATTTCAAGCCAGTGGATCTTAGTTTCCTGGGCTCCATGGGGGTGGGACCTGCTGAACCAGACCACTTGGATCCCTGGCTTCAGCCCCCCTTTCCAGGGGAGGAAAGGTTCTGTCTCACTGGCATTCCAGGCGCCACTGTGGCATGGGAAAAAAAAAAAACAAAAAACAACTCCTGCAGCTAGTTCGGTGTCTGCCCAATTGGCCACCCAGTGTTGTGCTTGAAACCCAGGGCCCTGGTGGAGTAGTCACCAGAGGGAATCTCTTGGTTTGCAGGTTGTGAAGACCGTGGTACAAGTGCAGTATCTGTGCCAGAGTTCCTCAGGCTCAGACCTTGACGGCTTCCCCTGGGTAGCGGGGGGAATTCCCCGAACCCTTGTGCTTCCCAGGTGAGGCAATGCCCCACCCTGCTTCGGCTCGCCTTCCATGGGCTGCACCCACTGTCCAACCAGGCCCAGTGAGATAAACTGTGTACCTCAGTTGGAAATGCAGAAATCACCTGCCTTCTGCATCAATCTCGCTGGGAGCTGCAGACCAGTGCTGTTCCTATTCGGCCATATTGAATGTCTGTTTACTCCATTGTTAAATCAAGAATGGCCAAACCCCATGTCTACAAAAAAAAAAAAAAAAATCAGCCAGGTGTCATGGCACATGCCTATAGTCCCAGCTACTCAGGAGGCTGAGGTGAGAGGATAGCTTGAGCCTGGGAGGTTGAGGCTACAGTGAACAACATTGCACCACTGCACTCCAGGCTGGGTGACAGTGCAAGAGCAAGACTCTGTCTCAAAAAAAGAAAAAAGACTAATGAATCCATTGTAGACTATTTTAATGCAACTATTAATACTTAATTAAAAATGAAAATGTATAAAAAAAAGTAAAACTAAACAAGACCCTGGAAAAAAAGACATAAATCAGAAATATTACATACAAACCTGAGTGTGTGATCTTCCTAGCTTGTAGACAATACACTACATGATTTTGGGAGCAAAAACATTAATAGTTATCTCACTCTTTGAAGCCAAGGAATACCTACTATTAAATTATTTGAACAGCCACACACACATGTGTCTGGAAACTGATATTGACTTCAAAGGTGGAATTTAACAGTCTTCATAGGGACCTCGTCAATTCTTTCACATAAAACCAAGTTATTTATTTCCAAGATACAATGGTGGTACAAGCATTGAGTAAACTTTCCCATTCCAAAAGGGATAAATCATCCAAATGAAAAGGACAACAAGCCCCATGCAAGTCTGAAACCCCTGCAGGGCAGTCATTAAATCTTAAAGCTCCAGAATAATCCTTGACTCCATGGCCGCATCCAGGGCACACTAGTGCAAGGGGTGGGCTCCCTAGGCCTTGGGTAGCTCTGCCTCTGCGGCTTTGCAGGGTGACCCTGTAGCTGCTTTCATGAATTGGAGTTAAATGTCTGTGTCCCTTCCAGGCTGGGATTGCAAACTGCCAGTGGTTCTGCCAGATTCTTGGGTCTAGAGGGTGATGTCCCCATTCCCACAGCTCCACTAGGCAGTGCCCCAGTGGGGACTCTGTGCAGGGGCGCTCTGGTCATTCGGGGTGCCTCTTCCAAGTTATTATGACAAAAAAGAAAGTGTGTTTTTAAATTAAAGTTTTTGCCATCTGCACTATTTCTCCAATGCACAGCTTTATGACCAGAGCATTCCCTCAGGGCAAAGTCATGAGAGAAAAAGGACCAAACAACAACCAAAAACCAAAACAAGCAATCTTTGCCATCCATAATATTCTAGCTTGCTTTCTTTTTCTGTGTTTTTCAATACAGAAATGAAGTGCATTTTACTTTTTTTGTTTGATTTACAAGACTAGAAAGGAATATATAACTGCTATTTAAGAGTCTGGGCTCTGAAATCAGGCTATCTGGATTTTAAATTTCAAAAACTATATTGTGGCACTTACCAATGTCTCACAATAAATGAGTCATTATTTTTCTGTCTGTGTAAACATCTAAAGAAGGTGTTTCTTTTTCTAACAGTAGAAACCCAGTGACTTCATTTCAGTCTTTGGTATTTACTTTTTGTAATTTGTCCAGGATTTATAATTATAAACAGCAAAAAAGATAGGCTATAGTGGGCTTATTCTGCTATAGCATAATTGGAATTTATTAATTTTTATAAATTTTACTTACCTCCCTTTATGCTAATCACCCCATGTAAAGCCCAGAGAATACTAGAGTTGAGTTTGGTAGAATTAGCCTTTCTTCAGTCAACACATATGTTCAAAGGAATTACATCAAAGATAACCAAACAGAGTCCTTGCCTTCAAAGTTTTAATTCAAATTGCATTTATCTCAATGGGATAAACTGTGTGGGAAAATACAGCGTCTTGAATTAAAAAAAAAAAAAACACGGAGAATACAGTTGAGGGCTAGATGTTTACTATTTTTCATCACTTAACTTTGAGTGGCAATAGAGCATTTCAGTAATTGTACCTCTATCCCTACAAGGAACCCGTCCCTGAAATGATTATCCCTATGGAAACAAGAAATAGCAATAAGATTTAACCATATTGCTGGGAGTTATCAGATCATCCATTAAATCAGAGGAGACCAAGAGGGATAGAAGCAGTTATATAGTTACATTTTGTGAAAACTATGTCCAACTTTCTAGTTCTGTAAACACATACTCTGCAAACTTTGTTGAAGCAGCATCCCATGCATTTTTGAGAAAGTGCTACCAATAAAAGCATCCAGATTTATCCCTAAATTTTACACAGGCATATTTATATCCTATACACATTATGAAGTGAACACAAGTAAAAATTATAGTTAGATAAATGGCAAGCACAAGCCGTTCCAAAATTTTCCCACACCCCAGTGCACTTTTTGGGGTATCCCATGGTGTTCACACATCTGAATTTTGAAATAATTACTATAAATGTAATATATTCTATGAAAAGAGAAAACTATATCAACAAAAATTTCTGTAAACCATACACGGTTTAATGAAAGATGATGATGATGATGGCGTGCGTGTCTATGAGTGTGTTTCTAGTTTTATTAAACCAATGAATGCAATTTTATTTCTTACATAAATTCTTAGCCATTGTAGGTTATAAAATATATATTTCATTAAAGCATAGAAAGTCGGTTCTTGCTATTTATCTGTCTCACTCTGTCCTGACAAATATCTCCCTGGACTGGTTCCTTAAAGTTGAAGTCCTACTGAATATTTTTTTTTTTAAAGTATAAAAATTTTTTTGAGCTCAAAGGCTTCAGGAAAGTTTTCAACAAACTAGCATCAGAAAACATCTTACTCAACATCAGAAAAAAATTTATATTCTAACTCTGACTGTTCTTGAGCTTACTAGACAGTTCATTGTTTTTGACATTATTTGACATCTGTTTCAATATTTAGATGAAAGTAGAAAAGTACTTTTAGAATACCATCCCTGAGAAGGCAACTGGACGTATTTTATGCAAGTATTTCTAAAATACACAGAGATAATATTTTGAATTAAGCCTTCAAATGTAAGATGATTTAATTCAATTTCTGTTTATTTTCGAATTCTCAGAGGAAAAAAATGCCTTTAAAAATAATTTTTTGTAACGTATGTTTTTTTGTCCTTAATATATGCTTTAAAATATACAGATTCCCTTGGATTTCTAAAATTTAATTCTGTTAATATTTCAGTTTTAAAACACAAAGAGGTAAACAAATGAATGCTTGCCTAACCAGAATTTAAATATTTTTGGAATCTGTTCACTTATTAAATATCTCATTGAGTTTTGCTATAAAAAATAAACAGCTTAATTTTTTATCATTCGAATATCATGATTTTTACAAGATTATTCTCTTGCTGGAGAATAACATTCCTTTGCGATGTGCTTTTCAGATAGATGGTATCATTATTATGTAGGGGTTAAGTGAAGATATTAAGGGTGGAAACAATTCCGCCAATGGATGTACATGTCTTAGAAGACTTCTTGCTCATTATAGCTTTGATTATAATACTGAGCTTAACACACAAACACATACACACACATAGCCTCTATCTCAAACCCTTGTTTTAAGTCATTTTCATGTAATTCCCTTTGTTCTTTGCACATATAAGGAAATATATTTAAAAGCCAAGTATTGAATACCTTGTCTTCTGACCCCACCATCTGACAAACCCTAATGTTTAAAAGCTGAAACATTTAATCAGTTATCATTTATGACACCACTACATCTTTGTTCCCTAATGTTCTTTATATATATGTGTGTGCGTGTATATATCTATATGTGTATATATATGTGTGTATATATGTGTATGTGTGTATATATGTGTATATATATGTGTGTATATATGTGTATATATGTGTGTGTATATATATGTGTATATATATGTGTGTATATATATGTATATATTGCTATTAGTAAAAAGAGAATATGAGAATGAAGTTAGGAAAATACTTTTGCCTAATATAAAAGCTTGGATAAACTGATGTCCTGGAGTAACATTCTGAAGTTCCATAAGATGATCTGGGATATTTATTGGAGTACAAAATTTCACAATCATATGGTTTTTTCTTGGTTGCTGGAAGCTTAGTTTATTATTAATTTTTTGTAATAAAAAAGATTAATTCTGTAGACATTTTCCTGGGAAGACAATCTAGTTTCCAGTATGTGTCACTGAAATAATAATTTAGGTTCAGTTATACAGCAGAAGATTTTGTGGAGAAGAAAAATTTTTAAGTAAAGCAGCATAAAGAACAATTAATTTTATGATATCAAATGATTAAAAAATATTTCTTGATGATCACTTATTGATATACAATAATGGCTCTCCTCAAACTTAATTATTCTCACAAAGTATCCATGGAATAACATTTAATAAGGATAGTATCTTGCTCTTCTGACAGTTTCTTACACTTTCATGTGTTTGAGGGAAGCTCTAATTGTAAGTTTGAAGAAACTATCTTGGGATACATTTCTGCTTTATGATTTGCTACTACTGATATTTTTATATAAATGTGTGTGTGTATCTATCTATCTATATATCTATATATATAATACGGGAGGGGGCCAAGAAATTGTTGGGTAGAGAGGGTGGAGTCCCTGGCCACCCTTGGGCCTGTACCCATGGACCTAAGTGAGAACAGGCACTCCTGTTTTCATGCTTGAATGTTGCATTTTTCAAGACCACTCTGGCCTGCCACAATCCCCATCCTGTGCCCATATAAACCCGAGACTATAGGGGGCACACAACACAAGTGGCTGAATGTCAAGAGGAGCAGAGGAACAGAGCGGCAGAGAGTGGAAGAGAGCAGTAGACAGCAGCAGGGTGTCACAGAAAAGAAGGAAGGAAGAAGCGTCTGAACATCGAGAGTTCAGCAGAGAACTCCCCGACCCCTCCACCTTCCAGCTCCCCATCCATCTTGCTGAGCTCCACCTCCAACATTCAATAAAACCTTGCACTCATCCTTTGAGCCCACGTGTGATTGGATCCTTCTGGGACACGGGGCAAGTGCTCAGGATACAGAAGGCTGTCACATTGGCCCTCTGCCCTTGCGATAAGGCAGAGGGTCCATTGAGCTTATTTACCATCAAACAATCTGCAGATGGCAAAACTGAAAGACCTTTGTAGCACTGGGGTTGCAGGTACCCACCCCTAGACACTGGCCCCAGCCTCTGCACCTGCCCGACTGCATGCTCCCCTCAGGGGTTTGAGCTGCAGGGCAACCGAACAGGTGAGCCACACCCCTGTCACATGTCCTGTGAGGGGAAATCAGGGAATTCTCCCATTATATATATCAGATGTAGCAGTAGGAGATGAAGTGGCATAAGTTAAACATGATGAATACAGGCATGATAAAATAATATATTACATTTCTCCTCATTCCATAACATTATTTCCTATTAGTCTTCTATCATATTTGCAGACATTTTGGACTATCTTCTCTAAATGTTCTCTATTTTTTTTTGCAAACTATATTAATCATATATTTCCCAAAGTGAAATATGGGTGGAAAAGTTCATTGTGAGCTTCAGCCTTTATTTTTTGGATATTTGCCAAAAGCCCTCCTTCCTAGAATTTACATTCATACATTTGACATTGGCCAGAACATCTTTTTCAACATGAAAAGGCTTTTTCTTTCATTTTCTTTCATTTTTCTTTCTTTTTGTTTTCAGAGTACAAAGAGTAAATCCATCTTTCTGAGTAAAATTTTATTACTTAATATGTAGAGATTCATTTGTCACATTAAGATTATGTTTTATTCTTTTAAAATTAAGAATATAACAAATACCAGGATAGTCATATTGTGTGAACAGCATATATTCTTGTTGTAGAGGTACCCACATGAAAAGGCAATGTTTAATTAGAATGTTGCTTTTTTGGGAGCTTCAACTTTGAACAAGACAAGTTAGATCTAAGTGTGATCTAGAAGTGGTTATGTCTACATAGGCATAATTGGTTCTCACCCTTCTCCCACCTGGATGGATTTAGCAGTTTGACACATACCCAAAGAAGATCCATCTTTCCATTGCATTAACAAGAGCTAGATATTTAAAGAATATTTTATGAGGAGAGAGTTTTTAAATAAAAGGTTTATGTCATAAGCAAAGTAGTAAAGATTTACAAAATTCCATTTAAGAAAATCTCTGTTTTTTTTTTCCCCAAAGTTACGGTGTCTTATTTCTCCTCATCTTTTTTATCCTTCATGTAGCTTCTAAAATATTAGCTTATATTTCAGAGTAATATTGATCCTTCCTTTAGCTTGTATACTCAGCAAAACAAAAGCCCAGTTATTGCTCCTGCAGTCAGATCTTGTATTATTTCTCAGATTTGCCTCTTGGTGTTTTTAAGTTCATTCAGCCACAAAGGACTCAAACATGTAATGTCATTAGGTTAAAATTGCCTGATTTATTTATCTACACAACTCTACTTGCCAACAGGACACACACACACAAAATCATACTTAGCATCTGCTAATGGTCCCAAATCCTTCTTTGGAACATTTTAATGAACATCAACTGGCATTAGTCTCTGTGCCTTTCTTTTCTTTTTGCTCCCATTCCTTTAACTGAAATGCACCATTTTAAATGTTTACACAGACAGAAAAATAATAGCTAGTATTTACTGTGAGACATTGGTAAGTGCCACAAGATGGTTTTTGAAATTTATAATCAGATAGTCTAATTTCAGAGCCCAGACTCCTAAATAAATGTTAGACCTTCCTTTCTAATCTTATTGATTAATGTCACAGAAAATCAAGCTAATTATTCAGGTTAGTAGTGATTTCATGTGCCCTTCATTCTATGTAGTTGAACAAAATATGTTATCATTCTATGTACAGTATTATGTATGCTAATTGTGTACATGACATAGAATATTAATGTTGCAAATTTTGCCCATATGTTTCCCTCATATTAACAACTACTATTAGGTAGAGTTTATCCACTTTCACTTTTACATTGCTTAGTGTGTATGAACTAAGAATCAAATGCAATTGTTAGTGCCAATTAAGGAGGGATGTTTTCCCTCAGTCTACCTTTATCATCCTTAAGAATGTGTCTTCTTCCATATTTTGTGCTTACAATATTTCATGTTTTAGCCTGATGGAATATAGTTTAAGATTAGTTACTTTTCAGAGAGAAAGAGAATATTATTTACAAAAGTTGTCTTCATCTTTAAATTTATTTCCAGTTCTGGCATTATTTTCTCAGAATACATTTCCAATATATATTTTATGGAAAACACATTTTTAAATAATGGTATCAGCCCCAACATAATTTTTACAGGACATGTGGCATAAAAGTACAGGAACATGTTCAGTGCAACCTTTGGCTGTGCAGACCTAGGCTCTGAGGGAACAGGGTGTATGACTCCTCTTTATTATTAGTGCTGATAACATGTAAAAATGATTATTTCAAATTTGCTTGATAATAATGCTATTTAAATATAACTATCTTGAAAACTTACGGGAGATAACTGTATACCTTAAGATACCCTTAAACATATTATTTCTCTTGCCAACACTGGTAATTTAATTTTTCTATTTCAAGTAATGATTTCAATTAAGGGGAAAGTGAAATACAAAGAATAGAAGTTCATTTGCTCCTTTATAATATTATTCAAGGTGCAACTGAGAACAAAAGTCTAAAACTCTTTTTTTTAAAATGCCATCTTGATTTTATTTAATTCTAAGAATGCAATTTTAAAATGTAACTACATATGGTGAATATGAATATTTTTCAATTAACTTTTTAAAAGAGAATATTTCACTGAATAACAAATAAGCACATAGTTCTGGCTAATTTACGTAATTGTATGTGTTTGGTTGCCCAATATACACTATATTTGTGTTATTTAGAATAAATTACAAATATACAATTCCTATATAGGCAGTTTATAATTTATATAAAGATTTTACATATGAACAGGCATCTAAAAGATAGCCACCAAATAATTTATAAAAAGAATTAAAGTATTAAGCATGAGAAATATAAGGTGTTATACAGTCCTATTATAAAAGCTTACAGTAATCACATATTAGTAGCCCGATTTTTGACAGAATTCCCAGGCTTATGATCTCCTTGCATGTCTAGTAGCATAATTTTAAATGCATGAAAGCTTTATTTTAGAGTTAGAAGCTGAAGGAGCTTATTGTAAGGATAATAGACTTAGGGAGAATTAAGGGTGCTTAGTTATACTTTGGAACTTGAAGAATCCATAGCTTTGATATACATTAGGATATATGACCCAACTATTATCTTCCAGGCATGACATATGTGCTGGAAATAACAGAGTACTAGCAGAATGTGAGAATTGGTAGACATGAAGTATAAACCTGTCCAGTAATTCACTTTCTTGATGATGTGAAAAACAGAGTGATTGTGGTTTCCACAGACATGCAGAACTATGATAAGAAAATAAGAAATATTAGAGGAAAATATTATCCTCTAAAAACAAACAAACATCATAGAGAGTCTGGGCTTCGGGTCACAGCCTTTAGCCTTAAGACCAGACTTGTATAAAACCTAGAGTTAGGATTGTTAACCATTTTTTATGTGACTGACAACCAGCCTCTGAATGTGTTTTGCAATAGCAAAATATCTATCTGCTACTACTATCTGTGAATAATCCCTATGTGTGATTATTTTAATCACCCAAAATTACATATAGATAGATGGATAGATATACATATTGCATTACTATATGAAAATAAAAATGCTGTCTTGAATTGCTGATTGGAAAACAAATATGCAGTTATCTCCATTAGGAATTTCAGGTTTTTAGCAACTGAAACATATTATTATAAACATGGGTTTCATGAAATTGCTCTTCTTGTGCTTTATGTTTGAATAAAATTGTATCTCTTAATTTGCTCACCTTTTTCTTTAATAAATGCAATAAATAAATAATATCTGCAGAAACTTACATAATGTAGGTAATAATAGAAGTAAAATAACACAATTGAGACTCTCATTTTATGCCTCATAGTAGCCTTACAACCAGAACAAAAGCTTTCTAAAACAACTAGAAATTTCAGTTAACATACAATTAAATGCATAGATACATTTTTAATAAACTGAAGAAAAAATTATATGGTATAAAAATGAAGAGGATCATGAAACTAGAGCAACAAGAAAGACTCACCCTTTCTGATATCATGTGCTGATATGAGTGATATTGTTTGGATATTTGTCCCCCCACAAACCTCATGTTGAAATGTGATTTCCAGTGTTGTAGGTAGGGCCTGGTACGAGGTGACTGGATCGTGGGAGCAGATCCCTCATGAATGGTTTAGCACCATCCTCTTGGTGATATCTGACTTCTTGTTCAGTTAGTTCACACAAGATCTGGTTGTTTAAAAGATTCTGGGGCCAGGCGCAGTGAATCACCCCTGTAATCCCAGCACTTTGGAAGACCGAGGCAGGCAGATCATCTGAGGCTGGGAGATCGAGACCAGACTGGACAAAATGGTGAAACTCTGTCTCTAGTAAAAATACAAAAATTAGCCAGACGTGGCGGTGCACACCTGTAATCCCAGCTACTCGGGAAGCTGAAACGGGAGAATTGCTT
The DNA here is from genome assembly GCF_000001405.40 of Homo sapiens. Taxonomy (NCBI): domain Eukaryota; kingdom Metazoa; phylum Chordata; class Mammalia; order Primates; family Hominidae; genus Homo; species Homo sapiens. The sequence continues at coordinate 89,947,675 of NC_000023.11, forward strand.
GAATCTGGGAGGTGGAGGTTGCAGTGAGCCGAGATCTGGCCACTGCACTCCAGCCTGGGTGACAGAGTGAGACTCTGTCTCAATAAAAATAATATTATAATAATAATAATAATAATAATAAAATAAAATTTAAAAATAAAAATATAAGATTCTGGGATGGCCCTCTTTACTGTCTCTTGCTCTCTTTTGCCACGTGACATGCTCATTTCCCTTTTCCTTCTGCAATGATTGTAAGCTTCCTGAGGCTCTCACCAGGAGCAGATGCAGGAACCCTGCTTCCTCTACAGCCTGTAGAACTGTGAGCCAAAATAAACCTTTTTCTTTACAAATTATCCAGTCTCTGGTATTTATTTATAACAATGCAAGAACACACTAACACATATGAATACATACGATTGTTGTGTCTTGATGGATTTTTGGGCCAGGAGATAAGGGCTTGAAACTGAGAAGAGTGGGAGTTAAAACTCAACCCTTACACACAGTAAGGCCCTATATCCTCAATGAAATGGTAAACTAGGAATAATATGTTTGTCATCAAAGAAAGTCTTCGGTAAAACTTTTCTATATCTGCCTGGGGTCTAGGTATATATGTATAGTAAGCAGAATCTTAATGTTTCTCTCATGATCTCCACTCACTGATGCTATACCCATGATTATATTACACAGCAAATGGTATTTTGCAAATAAAAATAGGATTAATAAAAGGTTTAACTTACAATTGGATGGTTATCTGCTGCTTCAGTTTGTTGCATAAGGGAAAGTCATAGATATTTAAAGCATGAGAGGAATATGATGCATGGGAGGTTTTTTATTTCTGAGATGAAGGGCCATGTGGAAAGGACTTGAGAGAGGCCTCTAGTTGCTGACAGTCATCCCCAGTCAACAGGTAACATAAAAATAAAAACTTCTGTCCTACCACTTCAAGAAAACAAATTTTGCAAAAAATCTGATGGTGCTTACAAGTAGATCTTCCTTAATTGAGCCTTCAGATAAGACCATAGCCCAGCAGAAATTTTGACTTCAGTTTTTTAAGACTCTAAAAAGAGAATCCAGTGAAAACATGCTGGATTTTTGAAACATGGGAACTATGACAAAACAAACTTTTGTTATTTTAAGCCAGTAAGATTTTGGTAATTTTATATGCAGCAATATAAATCTAATACACCTACTTACCTCAGTCATGAGAAAAGTGATTCCTGCATTTTCCTATGGGATAATATGGACATTAGTAAATAGTGTTTGGACAACTAGTTGACTTCATACCTCCTGTACATTAAGAAATATACCACTAGATGAAATATGTGAATGCAACCAAAAAAAAAAAAGCCAATGCATGTATTAGGATAAAAATTTGTATAATCTTTTGTGGAAAAGGTCTTTCTAATTATGACACAGTATATTAAAAAAATCATAAATTAACTACATAAAAATAATGAAAATTGTTTTATGGTTAAAAAAAATACCCCACCAAAGCACACTAAAAAGATAAAATCTTTGTAAATTTTATACCATAAGTTATCTATGTATCTATTATCTATCTGTCCATCCATCCATCTGTCCATCGATATGTCAGAGAAATAAAAAAAAACAGACACAACCCAGTAAAAATATAGGCAAATGGCATAAACCATTATAAAAAATGTGCAATCATCCCTTAAACATATAAAACAGTTGTGAAATTTTTATTGCTGGTATTGAAAGGTAATTTAAAGCTTTATTGAAATAACCCTCTTATCTATGAGATTAACAAAAACACACAAGCTTGACAATACACAATGTTGTTGAAACTGTAGAAAAATAGGATCTTTCACACTGTTTTATGGGGCATAAAATGTTATGATCCCCTAGGAAACAATTTCAAAAGAACTGTCAAAATTGCAAATGCATTTACCCCAAATATTCTACAAGAATGCCTATAAAATACATATGAACCAGGTTTGTTATTGTAATAGCAAAATGGGAAAATTTGGGGAAAAAACCAACTGAATATCTATGGTATACTGGTTTAAAATTATAGTACATCCATATAATGCAGTTGCTAAAGAGAATAACAAATCTTACCATGTACTGTTGGGGATAAATACAAAATATGTTGTTCTACAGCAAAATGTATGTGAGAAATGGGGAAGAACAATTGTGTATTCATTTTGTGCTTGCCTTCTATAAGAAATTTTATAAGGAAATACAAAAACATTATTAAAAGCGGTTATCTATAGGGATTGAGAAATACTTTAGATGTGGAAAAGAAGGAAGCGTAGTAGTAGACATTTTGCTACCTGTATTAGTTTGTTCTCAAGTTGCTATAAAGAAATACCTGAGACTGGGTAATTTACAAAGAAAAGAGTTTTAATTGGTTCATGGTTCCAAAAGCTGTATAGAAAGCATGGAGGCTTCTGCTCAACTGGGCAGGCCTCACGGAGCTTTCAATCGTGGTGGAAGGCAAAGGGGAAGTGAGTCACTTCATATGGCCAGAGCAGGAGGAAAAGAAAGGCGGGGAGTTGCCACACACTTTCAAACAACCATGTCTGGTGAGAAATGTATCACCAGAACAGCACCAAAGGGAAAACTCAACCCATAATCCAATCACTTCCCATCAGGCCCCACCTTCAACATTGAAGGTTACTATTCCACATGAACTTTGGGTGGGGACACAGATCCAAACCGTAACATTCCACCCTTAGCTCCTCCCGAATCTCATGTCCTTTTAACATTGCAAAATCCAGTCATGCCTTCCTAACAGTCCCCCAAAGTCTTTACTCCTTCTAGCATTAATCCAGAGTCTAAAGTCTCATCTGAGACAAGGCTAATCCTTTCACCTATGAACCTGTAAAAAATAAAAACAAGCTAGTTACTTCCAAGATACAATGGAGGAATGGGCATTGGGTAAAAATTTCCATTCCAAAAGGAAGAAATCAGTGAAAAGAAAGGGGTTACAGGCCCCATGCAAGTTCAAAACCCATCAGGGCAGTCATTAAATATTAAAGCTTTAAAATAATCTCCCTTGACTTCATGTCTCACATGAAGCCCTGTAAGATTGCTTAGCTTAGAGTCAGAGAAGTTAATGTCCTCAAGGGCAACTCTCAATCATCAGCAAAAAATTCTGAGGCATATTCCACACTGTGTCATAGAATTTTCAGCAGAAATAAGCCCTAGCTTCCCACATAAGTTATCAGCCCAATAATGCACCATTTATTCTTTTATCATCCTTACCCCAAAATGCTATCATTTAATCCTCCTTCTTGTTTAATGAACTCAATTCCCATAATAAATTGCCTGCAGTGATTGACTTTTCTCCAGATCCACATTTAAACTATTAACAACAAATATTTCAGTGTATATAATTTTATATTGTTTTGATATTTTAACTATGTGACTATAATACCTATTTTTGAAAGTCTGAAATGCAAATATTGGCTCTAATGTGGAGCTAACAGAGTTCTTAGAAATTCATTAGGGGAATTAAATTATTTATGAAAATTTTGAAAATAACTTGGCAAATTCTATTTAAGTGTAAGATATACATATCATCACAATTTCAGTCCTAGAGAGCCCTCACATACATGTTCAGGAATACATATTCAACAATGTCCATATCAGCATTTTGACAATGACAAACAAGAGTAGCCTGAATGTACCATAGTCAACAAATTCTGGAACAGTCATAAAATTGAATTCTATTTAACAGTAAAAATGAAGGAACTAGTGCTGCAACTATAAATGTAGATGACTCTTAAAAACATTGCTATGTAAAAACATATTGCAGGAAAATTCACCAACCATTCTACACATTAAAAGTTAAAGCATGAAAAACATGCCACTTGTTGTTCAGGGTGTGAAAGGAAAATATCTTGGGCCCCAAAACTCGCTAAGCTAAAGGGAAGCAGCTGAGAACTGCTTAGGGCAAACCTGCTTCCGATTCGATTCAAAGTTATCCCTCCGTTCACTGAGATAAATCCTATCTGATTGCTTCCTTTGGAAAGGCTAGTCAGAAACTCAAAAGAATGCAACTGTTTTTCTCTCACCTATCTGTAACCTGGAAGCCCCCTCCCCATTTCAAGTCTTCCTGGCTTTGCTTCCAGTTGTCACTTCTTTCCAGACAGAACCAATGTACTTCTTACATATATTGCTTGATGTCTCCTATCTCGCTAAAATGTATAGAACCAAACTTTGCCCAACCACCTTGGACATATGTCATCAGGACTTCCTGAGGCTGTGTCATGGACATGCATCCTCAACCTTGGCAAAATAAACTTTCTAAATTAACTGAGACCTCTCTCAGATTTTCTGCATTCACATTTTGTTAACCACGGCGGGGATTCTGAGTGGAGATGCCCCCGACCTTTGACAAATCTCTTACTGCCGCTTGATGAGCTAACTTTACGGCTCAAACCAATAGGAAACGTTGCTGAGGTCTGAGAGCAACCCCTCCAGACAATCCCTGATCTCCCCAAATTTGGTCAAGATCTAAAGTTTATTTTGCTGTACAACTCCACTTTTTTGGGGAGTTTTACTTGCTTTCAACACAAGGAAGGCAAGTTTTTCTGCTTCCATGATGATGAAAGGCAGGCAACACCTGTGTGGAGTTTGAGCTCGCTTCCAACAGGGAAGATGAGGGTGTGTGTGTGTGTGTGTGTGTGTGTGTGCTTCTAGGATGGTAGAGAGCAGGAGAGCAGGAGAGCAGTCTGGCAGTCTACAGCCTGAGACCCATCCCTAGGTAAGTAACTGAATTAGGGTTTGTTTTGGCTAAAGGTAAGATTGACCACCAGATGGTCTTAATTTCTCCTTACTATTAGAGCACTCAGCAATCATATAAGTTGTGCAATCATTTGTATTGCTTACCTGTTTCTGTTGTTGTTGTTATTGTTGTTTGTTTGTTTCTGTTTTTGTTGTTATTTCAGTCTTTTTGATACTTGGTGCTTCTGAAATAGCAGCAATTTGTCCTAGCTGAAACATAGTACTGAGATTTTAAAATGTTTTTTAAAGGAGCTCAATGGTTAAAAGTCAGCTTAATTAAAAGCTAGCATCCCAAGTGTGTATGTGTGCATGAGTGTGTTTGTATTTAAAAGGCCTTCATGTTTTTGTTTCTGTTTTTCTCTTTTAAGACCTTGTCTTTTTTTTTTTTTTTTTGAGCAAAAGATTTTTTTCTTCTCAGTTGACTGAATTCTGTTTTCACCTGATTTTTTGACTAAAATAGTTATTGCAACAGGGGCTACTCTTGGGTTTTTAATGAAGAGTGTACTTTAGACACTCAGAAATGTCTTTGTTAAAAAAATTAAGTGCACTGTAAAAGCGTCTCTAGCACCACCAGACTTTTTCTCTCTGTACCTTATAATGTAAATTTTGCTATTTAACTTTCACCTGAGTTGTTTCCTTTAATATGCAAATTTAAGGCTATTTAGCTAACAACCACCCAGTGTTGTAAAATAGGTTATCAAGAATCTAAAAGTCTAAGATAGAAAAAAAGGATCTTTATGAATCTATAATATGTGCTTTCATACGTCTATGTATTTATGTGTTGTTTACACAATGTTTCACTGCTGAAAATATATAAAAGGCCTCTAATTAATTGGCTTAAAGAAAAATAAAAATGTTTAAATCAAATATTGCATCAGGAAAAAAGAAAAGACTAGTCAAATGCTTTTTCAAGTTTATGTAACTTAAGTCTTTAATAAATAAGCTAGCTTTAGAATGATTGGTAAAGTAATATTAGAAATGTCTTAAGAATTGACACCATACATTTTTTGTTTGCATTTATTAATCAGGCAATTTCATACTTATTCCTGCCAAATACCATAAGGTGTCAAAATAAACTCTCTAAATTACCTGAGCCCTGTCTCAAAATTTGGGGTTTTGAGGGACACCTACAAGTGCAGTGAAATATGAAGAAAGTTATGTTAATGACAATCACCAAATTATAGTGATCACTTCTAGAGAAAAGGGAAAGTAATAAACTGAAAAACATTTATACTATAAATTTCAACACCATTGCAAGATTTAATTTTTTAAGCTGAGTTGTATGTATAATGATATTCTTTATATTATTATTTATGTCTTCTATAGGCTTTGACTATTTCACGATCAATTCAAAAATTTAAAAATATGCAAAATGATTATAGTAAATTTTTAAAGAATCTTTGCAGTAAGTATATTTCTGCCACTTTTTTGAAACTTTTCCTAAAGTTTTTTTCTTGTAACTTGTACCTTTTTGAGGAGCGTTTTCGAGGCAATATCCCTTTGCTGGAATACTAATTAGTGAGTATTTTATTCATTCTCATCTATCCATCTATAATTGATATGGTTTAGATTTATGTTCCCACCCAAATCTCATGTCAAATTGTAATCCCCAATGTTGGAGAAATGGCCTGATAGGAGGTGATACAATCATGGGGGCAGATTTTTGCCCTTGCTGTTCTGTGATAGTGAGTGAGTTCTCATAAGATCTGGTTGTTTAAAAGCTTGTAGCACCTCTTTCCCACCTTCTTCCTGCTCTGTCCATGTAAGACATTCCTGCTTACCCTTCTGCCATAATTGAAAGTTTTCTGAAACTTCCCCAGTTATGCTTCCTATACAGCCCATGGAACTGTGAGCCAATTAAACCTCTTTTCTTTATAAATTACCCAGTTTCAGATATTTATTTTTAGCAGTGTGAGAACAGACTAATACAATGATAATAGAAATCTCTTCATCTATGAAATCTCCCCATATCTGATGATATTAAGTAAAAATAGTTTAATCCATTTTTCGTAAGTTGCTATAAGTTTATTTTGAAAACCAAGTATTAGTTTCAGGCCATTTTCTGCCATATGCTTTCTATAGAAAGAGCATTAAATAACTACATGTACAATGAGTAAATGATTGAAAACTTTTTATAGAGATATAACCAAGTCATTTCTTATTGTTAAGTATTGACAGTAAACAATTCTATAAATAATTACTATATAATAAAAAACTGAAGGAAAACTCAAAAGACTTTTTATTTATGTAAAAGAAGAATTTTAAAAATTTGTGGACATGCTGTCTCATTGACCATAAACACTAAACAAAAGTTATTTCTTATTTTTAAATAATTTAACAGCTTTTTCAACCCACCATTTCTATTAGAATGCTAAATTTCTCAAAAATAGGAATAAATCAACATCAGAGTTTTATAAATCAACATCAGAGTTTTATAAATCAGAGTGTCTTGGTACTCTACAAATTAGTATGCTTAATATACAACTTGAAGTCCTTCAGAGAAAATATTAAACAGAAATGCCTTCTACCCAGTGATATGAATGTGCATTTGCAATAATAAAGAAGAGACTAAAAATTGTATAGCAATACCTAGTATCTGACCAATATATTATTTCATAAAAATAATAAAGTATCTTGCATCATACATGGAAGACAGTGACTTATTCCTGAATCTACTATATCTACAGTCTTTCTTGTACCAAATATTTACTATAAGTACATACAACTATGGAAAATGCTATGCTATGCCTTTGAGAGGCAGAGTACTGTAGAAATCTACACTTATTAAGAGCACAGTATTTTACTCTTTTCCCTTTTCTATGACATCTCTTCACTAGTCCCCTTCTTTCTATGTGTGTGTGTGTGTGTGTGTGCGTGTGTGCGTGTATTTATTTTATTGTGTCTATTTCAGTCAGCTAGGCTTCAAATGTAATCATTGTCTATCACATGTTCAATTTATTTGAGGCGTGAAGTTTTCCCAGGACACTAAAGCAAGAGGCACCTTAGGAACTGAAGCAGAGTAACTAATGCAGAGTTCTCCTCAGACATCAGAAATAATTATGACATCGTAGTTTTATGTCAAACTATATAATAAAAAAATTAAAATCTTTTTCTGGACTGTCCTGGGTAGTGTTAACAACATGACAGCTATTCCCTCTGTACACACTTAGCTGAGCAGAACTAGTTGAAGCATTAATTGTTGTTATCACAGCAGCATGGTTAACATGCTCATAAATATTATCTTGGCAACAGATTAAAAATAAAAAGGCCAGAAATTATGTTGTAAAAGTATTAACAATTTTAATAAGCCTAAAGGTGGTCAATCTGCCAACCGGGATATTACATCTTCAAATATATTCAAATACTAGTAATGGCATGGATATTTGGTACATTAAACAATCTAAATTTCACTTGGTTTACCATGTCAAATAGAAAATAAAAGAAATGAGTTATGTCTCCTCTATTTCCAGAAGAGGATTGATGGAGCTACACTAGCCAGCAGATAATTTGCATGCAGCACCACTACCATCAGATTACAAAAAAAAAAAAAAAAAAAAAAAACAAAAACCAGAAGCATGATAATTAAAAGAGATCCAAGGATATCAATGACAATTATAAAATATTGTTTTAAAATATGCTGTTAAGGCTCCCCAGGTAATGGACTGCTTCCCTTAGTTTCTGGCAATTTACCAGAATGCATTCCAAAGCATTTGATAAACCGGTAGTGCAAAGTATGTTATTCCTAGACAGTTGAGAACTCAGTTAATTAGAGCCTCCAGAATAAATGGGTCCCTGAGTAGTTGCTTTGTAAACCTATTGTTATTAATCTGATCTTCCTTATAGCCACTTATACATTAAATTGCTTATATTTCATTGACGCTATCTATCTTGAATATTTTGGAGAGATAACTGTTCTATATGTATTATTATTAATTAAATATTATTCCATACATTTTCCTTTACAAATATCACTCCATGTTAGATGTCACTAATTTAATAGCTTGGCAGTATAATTATATTGAGTTGAGGAATAAATACCACAAAATTTCTGATCAATCAACCTGAAAGTTCCATAAATGTCTTTGTCACTTATCAACAGTGAGAGTAGCTTAGTAATCACTTCTCTAAAATATGTTTTTATCTAAATTTATTTCCCTGCTCACTTTTTGCCCTCAACCTTCATGTTTTATAGTTACAGATGACAGTTTGCAAAACAAATTTAAATTTATCCTATCAAAAAAATTGTAATTAATAATGAATGCTTACAATTTGTATGGCATAATATTTATTGCTTTATGTGTGTTGTATCTCCTTTAGTCATCAACATAACTATATGAATTGTACTACACTTTACATATATTAAAAAATAGAAAGTTTGGGAGGCCAAGGTGGTTGGATCACCTGAGGTCAGGAGTTCGAGACCAGCCTGGCCAACATGGCGAAACCCCATCTCTACTAAAAGTATAAAAATTAGCTGGGGGTGTGGCGGGAGCCTGTAATCCGAGTTACTCTGGAGACTGAGGCAGGAGAGTCACTTGAACCCGGGAGGCAAAGGTTGCAGTGAGCTGAAATCGCACCATTGCACTCCAGCCTGGGCGACAAGAGTAAACTCCGTCTCAAAAAAAAAAAAAAAAAAAAAGAGGCAATGAACAGCGATTTGCTTGAATTCACGCAGTCTGATAAAGTAAGGATTTGAACTTTGGTCTTTATAACTCTGAAGTACACATCACTAGTGCCAAAAACAGTAAAATGCTACTATTTTTAAAAAGCTTATTTCACCATGAGAGAGATAGAAACTCTATTCAAATACCATATTTACTGATACAAATAAAACAAAATAATTATTTTTTAGACATGAAGTTAAAAAATACTGTCATGCCAAACCTCTATCATTTAATTTTAATTTGTTTTGCAGATATAGTTAGAAAAATAACTTAGAAAGAAAAAGAAGCCTATGCCAAATTTACTGGAAAAATTCAGTGATGAGCTAAAAGTGATCCTGAATTACCCAGCACTTCAGTCCTATACAGAAAGCTATGTGTGTCACAGACAGCAGTATTATTTTTGGTAGTAAAGCTTAGCAAGCAGATAGGGTTATTATACAGAATACAAAATCAAAGCCAAGACCGTTAATTTAAAAAAAATACATTTTGGCAAAAATGTGTAAATCTTTCCAAGCATTATTAATCAAATTATTAAACAGTACTAATGCTATTTATTATATCAGCAAGGAAGATATTTACAATGATTACTAAAATTCTAATGAAAAAGACCTATTAGTCAGTCATCCTCCCTAGCACTTGCTTTAGAAAGTACAAATATGTAATATAGGCCAGGTGTAGTGGCTTATGCCTATCTTCCCAGCACTTTGGGTGGCCAATGTTGGAGGATCACTTGAGGTCATGAGTTAGAGACCAGCCTAGGAAACAAAGTGAGACTCTATCTCTGCAAAAAAATTTTAAAAATTAGCCAAGTGTGATGGCAAACACCTGTAATCCTAGATACTCAGGAGCCTGAGGTAGGAGAATTGCTTGAGCTCAGTAGTTCGAGGCTGCAGTAAGCCATAATGGCATGCCACTGCACTCCAGCCTGGGTGACAAAGCAAGACTTTGTCTCAAAAATTTATAATAATAATAATACAGGCTATTTTAAATGGCATTGAAACAGACACACACACACACACACACACACACACACACATATGTTGTAAGGTTAAGTTTGATTTTAATATTTCATTATTGGGAATAAAAAAATTTTAAAGCATGTATTAATTTACCCAGGAAATGTATTAATTTTATATAACACAGTCATCATTCAATTACAAATATATAAATCAGTAGAGAAACCAAGATTGCAGGTGATACACACACACACACACACACACACACACACACACATATGTGTGTGTGTGTATATAAAGAATCTTTGAAGCCTCGGTTGAGTTACATTTTTGTGTACGTAATTGGAAATTTTTCTTACATATTAAGCAGACCACCAGTGACATCTTTTGAAACTAAGTTCAACATCGTCAAATATTTATGAACACTCCCTATATGCAAAGCACTATACTAGCTACTGGAGATAAAAAGAGTCATAAGGCCTATACCTAATATTTTTATGCCTTGAGAGGAGACCATAATTTAGACCTTTCATAGCACTTACACTGATTTCCTTGTATTTACTTCAAATTAATAAAGGTTTCTCCATGGAGTATATAACACTAAAATACTTAGATTTAGCTGCAAGTCATAAAATTATTTGCTTAAGCAAAATTTTTTTTAGATTTCCATATTTCTGTTGAACCTGAATTTTGAACAGTTGAACTGTTTTATTGGAAAGAAAAGAGACACTTTATTGTATTTCTTAACCTGAAATTTTCAAAGACAACCTATAATGATGTAGTATCAAAGAAGTGGACAAAATTCTACACCTCTAGCCATAATTTTAGAAATGGCTATTAGAACTAGTTTTTTTACTCCTATTAATAATTGAGAAACTATAAATGAACTATATTTCAAAGTTAGCATGGATTGAGATATATTAAGACTGGAATGAGTGCACTCGAAAAATATGTGTTGGTTTCAATAAACAAGACTTTCTTGAAAGCCTATGGATAATGTATCCTTTCATATATGACATTCTAAGCTTAGTAAATTTTCTAGTGCTATAGAAATAGAATAGTTTTATCTACAGGAAGCATTCATTTAAACAATAAAACCATATTACAAAGTTAAAAATAAATGTAATTTTCACAATACTTTCACTATACTCACTAACATTTATATCCAACTTACTATAGCAAAAGGGCTCATTCATGAATAAGTAATATGACTGCACATCCTATTTACATACTGTCAATCCTCAGATTCCTGAAGATAAGAATTAGATTACTCAATACATAACAACATAGCAGCACCTCTTTCCATTGCAAGCTTTGTATAAGCTTCATTTTAATTAAGGGATAATAGCTCTGACATTAATTTCACTTAGTTTCTTTATTATGTAGCTAAGATCAGAGAAAACAATGTCATAGACAGCAGTATTATTTTTGGTAGTAAAGCTTTGCAAACAGTGATTATACAGAATACAAAATTGAAGCCAAGACCGTTAACAAAACAATTTTATTAGACTGGGCGCTGTGGCTCATGCCTGTATTCCCAGAACTTTAGGAGGCTGAAGCGGGCGGATCATCTGACGTCAGAAGTTTGAGACCAGTCTTGCCAACATGGTGATACCCTGTCTCTACTAAAAATACAAAGTTAGCTGGGCTTGGTGGTGCGCACCTGTAATCCCAACTACTCAGGAGGCTGAAGCAGAAGAATCGCTTGAACCTGGGAGGCGGAGGTTGTAGTGAGCCGAGATGGTGCCATTGCACTCCAGCCTGGGCAAAAAGAGTGAAACTCCATCTCAAAAAAAAATAAATAAATAAAATAAAAACAATTTTATTTTTTTCTCCAAGAAGAAGGTGCTGAACTTTCCATTTACAAGCCAACTAGAGCCACAAGATGATGCACTTCTTGAAGTACAGGCATGCCTTTTTTTCATTGTGCTTCATTTTATTGTCCTTCACTGATACTGTGTTTTTTTAGAAACTGAAGGTCTGTGGCAACTCCGCATCCAATAAGTTTATCAGTGCCCTTTTTCCAAAAGCATGTGCTCACTTTATGTCTTTGTATCACATTATGATAATGATTGTGTGAATCCAAAATATCCAAGAGAGATTTCAATCAATTTAGAATGTTTATTTTACTAAGGTTAAGGACGCACCCATAACATAGCCTCAGGAGGTCTTGAAGACATGTGCCCAAGGTGGTCAGGGTACAGCTTGCTTTTATGCATTTTAGGGATACATGAGACATTAATCAATACATGTAAGATTTACATTGGCTCTACCTGAAAGGCTGGGTCAACTCAAAGGAGAGGGGGATCCTAGGTCATAGTAGATTTAAAAATTTTCTGATTGGCTATTGGTTGAAAGAGTTATCAGTAGAAAGGAATGTCTGGGTTAAGATAAGGAGTTATGGAGACCAAGGTTTTATCATGCCTTGATAAAGTCTCTGGGTAGCATGATGAAGCCTCTGGGTATCAGGCTTCGGAAAGAATAGATTGTAAATGTTTCTTATCAGACTTAAGCTCTGTGTTGATGTTAATTCTGGAGGTGCAAAATGAGGCATGTCCAACCCCACTTCCCATCATGGCCTAAACCAGTCTTTCAGATTAAATTTAAGAATGCCCTGGCCAAGAAGGAAGTCCACTCAGGTGGTTGGGGAGCCTTAGAATTTTATCTTTGATTTATACTTCCAGCATTTCCAATTTTTAATTATTATTATACCTGTTACTGTAAAGAACATGGCTGTGCTCCAGCCAAGAAGGCTTAGGGCAGCAGGCATAGGCTGAGGTAAACAACCTGGATGATGCAGTGGGTTTGTGGCACACACACACAGTCCCGGGACTTATATAACCATAGCCATGTAGACATAACATGGAGAAAGCTCACTTCCATAGCCATAACATAGAGAAGCTGACCACTTAGCTCTCAGCTACTATTGTTTGTGTAATGTATAAAAGTAACACTGACCCTGTGAGGGGCTGCTGAATAAAGCCATGTCTCATCTACCTGCTGTCTCTTGAGTGTTCGTCCAGCTCCCTGCCCCACAACCTTCCATTCCCCTCAGCCCTCAGCTGGGGCTGGAACCAGAGTATGAGAGTTATGGTGACCTGTGATCACTGATATTTGATGTTGCTATTGTAATTGTTTTGGGGTGTCACAAACAACACACATACAAGATGGTAAACTTAATAAATGCTGTGTGTTTTCTGATTGCTGCACCAACCATCCCTTGTCCTATCTCTCTCTCTTTCTGTCTATGGTCATCCGTACTCCCTGGGACTTAATGATATTAAAATTAGGCCAGTTAGGAACCCTACAATATCCGGTAAGTGCTCAAGTGAAAGGAAGAGTCAGATGTCTCTACCTTTAAATCAAAAGCTAGACATAATTAAGCTTAATGAGGAAGGCATGCAGAAAGCCCAGATAAACCGAAATGTAGGCCCTTATGCCAAACCACCTCGCCAAGTTGTGAATGCAAAGGAAAAGTTCTTGATAAAAATTAAAAATGTTACTCCAGTGAACACACAAATGATAAAATGTGTAAGAGCCTTATTGCTCATATGGAGAAAGTTTTAGTGATCTGGGTGGAAGATCAAACCAGCCACATCATTCCTTTAAGCCAAAGCCTAATCCAGAGCAAGACCCTAATTCTCTTTCAATTCTATGAAGGCTAAGAGATTTGGAGATGCTGCAGAATAAAAGTCTGAAGCTAGCAGAGGTTGATTCATGAGGTTTTAAATAAGAAACTATCTCTATAACATAACAACATAATGTGAAGCAGCAAATGGTAATGTAGAAGCTACAGCAAGTTACCCAGAAGATCCAGCTAAGATAATTGATGAAGGAGGCCATATTAAACAACAAATTTTCAATGTCAATAAAACAGCCTTCTATTGGAAAGTCCTACTGCCATCTAGGACTTCTATAACTAGAGAGGAAAAGTCAATGGCTGGTTTTAAGGCTTCAAAAGAACAGGTTAACTATATTGTTAGGTAATAGCGTATCTGGTGGCTTTATGTTGAAGTCAATGCTCATTTAACATTCCAAAATCTTATGGCTATAAGAATTATGCTAAATCTACTCTGTATTTGCTCTATAAATATATCAACCAAATCTGGATTACAGCACATCTGTTTATGGCATAGTTTACTAAATTATTTTTGAGACAGAGTCTCACACTGTTGCCCAGGCTGGAGTGCAGTGGCGCGATCTCAGCCCACTGCAAGCTCCGCCTCCCAGGTTCACGCCATTCTCCTGCCTCAGCCTCCCGAGTAGCTGGGACTACAGGCACCCACCACCACGCCTGGCTAATTTTTTATATTTTTAGTGGAGACAGGGTTTCACCGTGTTAGCCAGGATGGTCTCGATCTCCTGACCTCGTGATCCACCCACCTCGGCCTCTCAAAGTGCTGGGATTACAGGCATGAGCCACCGTGCCTGGCCCAGTTTATTGAATATTTTAAGCCTACTGTTGAGACCTACTGCCTGAAAAATAAAAACTCTTTGAAAACATTTCTGCTCATCAGTAATAAACATGGTTATTGAAAAGCTCCAATAAAGATGTGGAAGGAGATTAATGTTGTCTTTATTGCCTGCTAACACAATATCCATTCTGAAGCCCATACATCAAGGAGTGATTTTGACTCTCCAAGGCTTATTATTTAAGAAATAAATTTTGTAAGGCTGTAGCTGCCATAGATAGTGATATCTCTCAGTAACTTCGGGAAAGTAAATTGAAAACTTTCTGAAAAGAACCATTATAGATGCCATTAAGAACATTCATGATTTATGGAGTAGGTCAAAATATTAAAATTGTCAAGGGTTCAGAGGAAGCTTGTTCCAGCCCTCATAGGATGACTTTGAGGGGTTCAAGACTTCACTGGAGGAAGTCACTGCAGATGTGGTGAAAACAGCAAGAAAAGTGGAATTAGAAGTGGAGCCTGAAAATGTGACTGAATTGTTGCAATCTCATGATAAAACTTGAATAGGTGAGGAGTTTCTTCTTGTGTTTGAGCCAAAAAAAAATCGTTTCTTGAAATGGAATATAATTTTGGTGAAGATGCTGTGAATATTGTTGAAATGCCAATAAGAGATTTAGAATATTAAACTTAGTTGATAAAGCAGTGGCAGGGTTTGAGAGGATTGACTCCAATTTTGAGAAAAGTTCAACTAGACAGTATCAAAT
Organism: Homo sapiens; assembly: GCF_000001405.40. NCBI lineage: Eukaryota > Metazoa > Chordata > Mammalia > Primates > Hominidae > Homo > Homo sapiens. The sequence goes on from NC_000023.11 coordinate 89,963,205, forward strand.
AGCAATGCAATCCAACAGCATTTCATGCTGCAGAGAAATGTTTTTGTGTGTCAATGAATGCTGCAAACTTAATTGTTCTCTTATTTTTAAAAATTGCTGCAGCCACCCCAAACTTCAGCAGCCGCTACTCTGATCAGTCAGCAGCCATCAACATCAAGGCAAGATTCCAGCAAAAAGATTATGACTCATTGAAGGCTCAGATCATTGTTAGCATTTTCTGGCAATAAAGTATTTTTAATTAAAGTATGTATTTTTTTTAGACAAAATGCTATTTAACATTTAATAGACTGCAGTATACTCTAAACATAACTTTTGTATGCACTGCAAAACCAAACAAATTGTGTGAGTTGCTTTATTGCAATCTTCACTTTATTGAGGTGGTCTGGAACCAAACCAATAATACCTCCACGGTATGCCTATATATATTTCTCACTCTATCTTGTTTGCCACAGTTCCAAGAAGTGAAAGTCCTGTAAATAAAAGCAAGCATGCAAGTACGCAGTTTGCTGTAGAAAGTCAATTGAGGTACCATGAAGTACATCAAGCGTCCCTCATTTGCTTTAAGTTGACCACAGGTCTTCAGTTTTTAATGTTCAAATATGTGTACATAAAATATCCACATTCTTCTCCAAGAAATATAGAATGGCTGGAATATAAATGCATTATCACTCTTCCTCTGAAAGACTTTCACATTTTTATAATGTGACTGCTGAAAATGGAAGAGTTTTGTACTTGCATTTCTCCTTAGTTAAAAATCAACTGAAAAAATATGAAACATACATATGATAAGGCACCTACTAAGAATATACCTTGATATTTCAAAATAAAAGCTAAAAGGAAATACATGTAATAGAAAACGTCAAGCTTATGAATATATTCATTCTTGTGTGGTCCTGATATGTTTGTTGAAATTGGTATATTTTTAAGTAAATATCTAAATTGTCACCCCCAAAGCATAATATTCCTATAATACATGAAGAGTTATCACATTTTAGTTGCAAAAGAAACTACTTTTTTGGTAATGGAAGATCTTTACTTAACTACAAATTTTATTTTATAAATACATATAAGATGAATATGGTTTAAAAAGCCACATCATAGATTCCCTATAAATTCTGGATTTTAGACCTCTGTCACATGAACAGTTTGCAAATATCTTTTCTCCTTCCGTAAGTTGTCTTTTTACTCTGTTGATAGTTTATTTTACTGTGCAGAAGCTCTTCAGTTTAATTAGGTCCCACTTGTCAATTTTTGCTTTCATTGCAATTGCTTTTGGGGACTTAGCTAAAAATTCTTTATCAAGGGTAGTGTCAAGAAGAGTATTTTCTTGATTGTCTTCCAGGATTTTTATAGTTCTCAAATTTGAAAGGTCTTAAATTTAAATCTTTCATCTGTTTGGGGTTAATTTTTAGATATTGTGTCCGGAATTGGTGGGTTCTTGGTCTCACTGACTTTAAGAATGAAGCCGCGGACCTTCGCGGTGAGTGTTACAGCTCTTAAGGTGGCACGTCGGGAGTTTATTCCTTCTGATGTTCGGATGTGTTCAGAGTTTCTTCTTTCTGATGGGTTCGTGGTCTCGCTGGCTCAGGAGTGAAGTTGCAGACCTTCGCGGTGAGTGTTACAGCTCTTAAGACAGCGCGTCTGGAGTTGTTTGTTCCTCCTGGTGGGCTCGTGGTCTCGCTGGCTTTAGGAGTGAAGCTGCAGACTTTCGCGGTGAGTGTTACAGCTCATAAAAGCAGTGTGGACCTAAAGAGTGAGCAGTAGCAAGATTTATTGCAAAGAGTGAAAGAACAAAGCTTCCACAGTGCGGAAGGAGGACCTGAGCAGGTTGCCACTGCTGGCTCAGGCAGCCTGCTTTTATTCTCTTATCTGGCCCTACCTACATCTTGCTGATTGGTAGAGCCGAGTGGCCTATTTTGACAGGGCGCTGATTGGTGCGTTTACAATCCCTGAGCTAGATACAAAGGTTCTCCACCTCCTCATCAGATTAGTTAGATACAGAGTTTCCACACACAGGTTCTCCAAGGCCCCACCAGAGCAGCTAGATACAGAGTGTCGATTGGTGCACTCACAAACCTTGAGCTAAACACAGGGTGCTGATTGGTGTGTTTACAAACCTTGAGCTAGATACAGAGTGCCGATTGGTGTATTTACAATCCCTGAGCTAGACATAAAGGTTGTCCAAGACCCCACCAGAGCAGCTAGATACAGAGTGATGATTGGTGCACTCACAAACCTTGAGCTAAACACAGGGTGCTGATTGGTGTGTTTACAAACCTTGAGCTAGATACAGAGTGCCGATTGATGTATTTACAATCCTTGAGTTAGACATAAAGACTCTCCAGGTCCTCACCAGACTCAGGAGCCTAGCTGGCTTCACCTAGTGGATCTCGCACCGGGGCTGCAGGTGGAGCTGCCTGCCAGTCCAGCGCCATGCGCTCGCACTCCTCAGCCCTTAGGTGGTCGAGGGGACTGGGCACCCTGGAGCAGGGGGTGGTGCTCGTCGGGGAGGCTCTGGCCACACAGGAGTCTATGGAGTGGGTGGGAGGCTCAGGCATGGCGGGCTGCAGGTCCTGAGCCCTGCCCTGCGGGAAGGCCGCTAAGGCTCTGTGAGAAATCGAGCGCAGTGCCGGTGGGCTGGCACTGCTAGGGGACCTAGTACACCTTCCGCAGCCGCTGGCCCGGGTGCTAAGTCCTTTATTGCCCGGGGCCAGCAGGGCTGGCGGGCTGCTCCGAGTGCGGGGTCACCAAGCCCACGCCTACCCGGAACTCCAGCTGGCCCGCAAGCGCGGCACGCAGCCCCAGTTCCCGCTCACGCCTCTCCCTCCACACCTCCTTGCAAGCTGAAGGAGTAGGCTCCAGCCTTGGCCAGCCTGGAAAGGGGCTGCCACAGTACAGTAGTAGGCTGAAAGGCTCCTCAAATGCCGCCAAAGTGGGAGCCCAGACAAAGGAGGTGCCGAGAGCAAACAAAGGCTCTGAGGACTGCCAACACGCTGTCACCTCTCAATATGGTTAACAGTAGGCATTCAGCTTCAATCTTCTGCATATAGCTTGTCAGGTATCCAAGCACAATTTATTGAATAGTGGGTCCTTTCACCATTGCTTATTTTTGTTGACTGTTAAAAATCATTTGGTTGTAGGTGTGTGGCTTGACTTCTGGGCTCTTTATTCTGTTACATTGGTCTATGTATCTGTTTTTTTACCAGTGCCTTACTCTTTTGATTACTGTAACCGCATAGTATAGTTTCAAGCTTGACAATGTAATGGCTATGGCTTTGCTCTTTCTGCTTAGGATTGCTTTGGCTATCAGGGCTCTTTTATTAGTTCCATAAGAATTGTAAAATGTGTCTTTTAATTCTATAAAAAATAATGAAGAAAATGTCAGTAGTTTGATAGCAATAGCATTGTGTTAGTCTGCTCTTGTGTTGGTATAAAGAAATACCAAAGGCTGGGTAATTTGTAAAGAAAATCAGTTTATTTTAGATGACGTTTCTGCACTGTACAAGAAGTATGGTCCTGGCTTGTTTCTGGTGAGGTTTCAGGAAGCTTACAACTATAGCAGAAGGCAAAGGGGGAGCTGGTATATCACATGGAAAGAGAGGGAGAAAGGGAGAGAGGTGGAGGTGCTATTCTCTTTTAAACAATCACATCTTGCATGAACTAATAGGATGAGAACTCCCTCGTACCTCAAAGACAGAACCAAGCCATTTATGAGGGATCCTCCTCCATGACCCAAGCACCTCCCACTAGGTTCCACCTCCAACATTGGGAATCACATTTCAACATGAGATTTGAAAAAGACAAAACATCAAAATCATATCAAACATTGAATCTGTACATTTATTTGGGCAGTGTGGCCATTATATTGACTCTTCCAATCTGTGAGCACAGAATGTATTCTCATTTGTTTGTATCATCTGTGATTTATTTCAGCAGTGTTTTGTAGTTCTTTTTGTAGAGATCTTTCACCTCCTAGGTTAAATATATTCCTAGGTATTTTATTTTTCTCTGACTAATGTAAATGAGATTATGTTCTTTCTTTGGCTCTTAGCTTGAACATTACTGGAACATATAAATGCTATTGATTTTTCTACATTGACTTTGTATCCTGAAACTTAACTGAAGTTGTTAATCAGTTCTGGGAGCCTTTTGGCAGAGTCTTTAGGGGTCTCTAGGTATAGAAAAGTATCATCAGTGAGGAGGGATAATTGGCTTTCTTTTTTCCAATTTGGATGCCTTATTTTTTTTCTCTTGCCTGATTTCTCTGGCTAGGACTTCCAAAACTACCTTGAATAGGAGTGGTGAGAGTGGGCATCTGTGTTTTTTCCAGCTCTCAAGTGGAATGATTCCAGGTTTTGCCCATTCAGAATGATGTTAGCTGTCGGTTTTTCATAGATGGCTCTTATTTTTTTTAAGATATGTTCCTTCAATGCCTTGTTTGTTGAGGGTTTTTATCATGAAGGGATGTTGGATTTTATTGAAAGCTTTTATTACATATATTGAAATTATTATATGGTTTTGGTGTTTCCTTCTGTTTACGTGGTGAATTGCATTTATTGATTTGTGCATATTGACACAAGCTTGCATCCCAAGAATGAAGCCTTCTTTATCCTGGTGAATTTACTTTTTGATGTGCTGCTGGATTCAATTTACTGTTATGGTGTTGAGGATTTTTGTGTCTATGTTCATCAGAAATATTGGCCTGTAGTTTTCTCTTTCCTTATTTCTTTGCCAGATTTTGGTATCAGGATGATGTTATCTTCAAAGAATGAATTAGGGAGGAGTCCTTCCTCCTCTATTTTTTGGAATAGTTTCAATAGGATTGATAGTAACTCTTTTTTGTATATATGGTAAAATTTGGCTGTAAATCCATTTAGTCCAGGGATTTTTTTGGGCTTGTAGGATTTTTACTATTGTTTCAACATTGGAATTCAATACTGGCCTCTTCAGGGTTTCAGTTTCTTCTTGATTTAATCTAGAGATGGAATGTTCCAGGAATTTATCTATTTCCTCTAGATTTTCTAATTTGTGTACATAGAGATGTTCATATTACTCTCCAAGAATCTTTTGCATTTCTGTGGGATCATTTGCGATATCACCTTTGTCATTTCTGAATGTGCTTATTTGGAACTTCTCTCTTTTTTTCTTTGTTAATCTAACTAACAGACTATAGATCATTTTTATCCTTTCAAAGATCCAACTTCTGGTTTTGTTGATCCTTTGTATGAATATTTGGGTGTCAATTTCATTCAATCCTGCCCTGTTTTTAATTTTTTTTCTTCTGCTAGCCATGTGGTTAGTTTGTTCCTGTTTTTAAGTCCCTCTGGGTGTAATGTTATGTTGTTAATTTGAGATCGTTCTAACTTGATGTAGGGATTAAGCCCTCTGAATTTTCCTGTTAACACTGCATTTGCTGCATCCAAGAAATTTTGGTATTTCATGTCTCTGTTTTCACTTATTTCAAAGATTTTTTTTATTTCTGTATTAATTTTGTTGTTTACACAAAAGTAATTCAGAAGCAAGTTGTTTAGTTTCCATGTTGTGTGGTTTTCAGAGAACTTCTTGGTATTGATTTCTATTTTTACCCCAATGTGTTCCAAGAGTATGATTGGTATAATTTCATTTTTTTGAATTTACTGAGACTTACTTGCTTTATGGCAAAGAATGTTGGAAATCTTACAATATGTTCCATGTGCACATGAGAAGCATGCATATTCTGTATTTGATGGGTGAAGAATTCTGTAGATGTATATTATGTCCAATTAGTCAAGGGTCAAATTTAAGTCCAGAATTTCGTTGTTAGCTTTCTGCTTTGATCATCTGTCTAGCGTTGTCAGTGAGGAGTCCCCAATATTATTGTGTGGCTGTCTTTTTGTAGGTCTAGAAATACCTGTTTTATTAATCTGGATGCTTCAGTGTTGGGTGCTTATATGTTTAGGATAGTTTATCTTCATGTTGAAATGAATTCATTATCATTATGTAATGTCCTTCTTTGTCCTTTTTTACTGTCGTTGGTTTAAGGTCTGTTTTATTTGATATAATAATGATGACTCACCCTTTTTTTGTTTTCCATTCACATGATATATCCTCCTCCAACCCTGTCTTTGAACCAATTAGTATCATTACAAGTGAGAGGGGTGTCTTGAAGATAAAAGATGGATGGGTCTTTTTTAAAATCCAATTTGCCACTCTGAAACTTTTAATTGGGAAGTGTAGACAATTGACATTCAAAGTTAATATTGATATGTGTGGTTTTCATCCTATCATGAAGCTGTCAGTTTGTTGCCTTGTAGTCTCCATTGTGTAGTTGTTTTATTGGGTCTGTGAGCTATGTACTTAAGTGTGTGTTTTTGATATCAGGTATCATTCTCTTCCATGTTTACCACTCCATTATTTCTTGTAAGGCTAGTCTGCTGGTAACAAATTACCTTAGCAATTGCTTCTCAGGAAAATATTTTATTTCTTCTTTGCTTATGAAGCTTAGTTTGGCAAGGTATGAAATTCTTGGTCAGAATTTCTTTTTTTTAAGAATGCTGAGAATAGGCTCCCATCTCTTCTGGCTTGTAAAGTTTCTTCTGAGAATCTACTAGCAGCCTGATGAGGTTCCCTTTGTAAGTGATCTGATCATTTTCTCAAGGTGTCTTTAAGATTTTTTTCTTTGGGGTTAAACTTGGATAGTCTGGTGACTTATGCCTTGGTGACGTTTATTTTGGGTAGTATCTTGCATGTGTTCTCTTTATTTCTTGTATCTGAATGTCTACCTCTCTAGGAAGATTAGGAAAATTTTCTTGACTTATTTCCTCAAATACGTTTTATAGGTTGTTTACTTTTTCTTCTTTCCTCTCAGGAATGCCAATAATTTATAGGTTTGGTTACTATGCATAACCTTATATTCCTCAAAGCTTTCATTTTTATTTTTAGTTTTTATTTCTGACTGGAAATACTTAGTTTGAAAGACTTCTCTTCAACCTCTGAAATTCTTTATTCTGCTTGGTCATATCTCTCAATAAAGCTTTCGATTGTATTTTGAAATTCCTTGAGTGAATTTTTCTATTTCAGAAGCTCTGATTACTTTTTAAGATGCTTATCTCTTTCATCATTTTCTGCATTGCTTTATTACTTTCTTTGTGTTGATTTTCAACCTTGATCTGAATCTTATTGAGCTTTCTTGAAATCCATGATTTGAATTCTTTATCATTTGTGAGTTTCCATTTTGGTTAGGGATCATTGCTAGAGAACTAGTGCAATCCTTTGGTGGTGTCACAACATTTAGGTTTTTATGATGCCAGAATGATTAACCTGATTCTTTCTCACCTGGAAATGCTGACACTTCTAATTTTTGTAATTATTTTCATATGGAAAGGATTTTTATTCCTTTCCCTACATAATTTTTCCTTTAACCTCCCCCAAAACATGGGTGTGTCTGTATAATATGTTAAGTATGACTGTATAATATGTTAAGTAGGCTCATTTGGCTATGCTTCCATAACCCTATGCACTTGTGTTGGAGGGCTTTATATTGGGCTGTGCAGTTCAACCTATAGGGCCAGTAGATGGTGATTATGGGTAAGAGCCACCTGCAACATAAGCAGATCAGTAAATACCTAATCTTTGTTTACTCCGAGGTGCTCTCTATTATTTCAGGTGATGGGCTAGACAATGGGGTGCCCAGTGCCCTGAGTTTCCTGTTTTGCAGGGGTTGGGGCACATATCTCGGAAGAGCTGAAGCCCCTGTCTTGCCCATGAATACCCTTATTGTATGCACAGGCACCAGCCCTGACCAGGGGGGCTGGGTGGAGCTCCTGGTGAAATGTGCTGAGGTCTCTGCAGGAAGGTGAGGGGGTTTCACTGGCTCCCCATCCTAGATAGACAGAAACATGGGCTATTTCCCTATCCCATTCCTGTTCTGAGGTTCATGACTTCTAGATCAGATGCACACTGTAGTCTATCTTTGGACCACAGTGTGATTGAAAGCCTTGGGAAAGGCTTGTTTTGTCACTCTCAAGGGAGTGGTGTTGGGGCAGAATTTTGTCACTCGGCCTGATACAGATAGCATTATGCCCCATCTGTTCTCTGATATCTTAGCTCTGGTGCTTCATGTAAGAGGGAGGGCTCCAACTTTGGGCTTTTGCAAGTGGGTGTTGGTTGTGGTGGTATCTGCGGGTTGGGTCAGCCTGACCTCAGGCCCTGGGGGAAGTGGAGAAGTGACAGCAGAGTTGGAATGGGGTAGGTACTTCCCTAGTTCCTAGGTCCCTAGATGGCACCCTTGCCACTGTTTACAAATCCTGAAGAGGCTGAACCAGGGTCAGAATTGCCCAGTGTTCAGGTGCTGGGTGTGATGGGGAAGGGTGGGCTGGTCCCCAGGTCACTGGTAAAACTCTCAGGCAGGTACAGGCATGATGCTTGTATGGTAGGAGCCTGAGGAAGTATCACAGCTGTGTGGGGGTAGGGTTTCCAGAAGGGCTCTAGGGTGCAGCTGAAATGCTCAGGCACGGGCAGGTGAGTGCACTATGTGCCAGAAGGCATCAGGCCCTGTTTGGCAGGAAGCAGTGGAAGTGAGGTGTGGGACCGGTGTAGAGCCAGGCGAAGCTCCTTAATTTGGGGAAAGGGCTGCCTGGCTTTGCTCCTTTCTTTTTTTCCCATGGGTCCTATTGCTTCTGTGAAAGCAAAATATCTTGGGCCTCCCAAATTACTAAGCTAAAAGGAAAATTCAAGCTAGAAACTGCGCAGGGCAAACCTGTCTCCCACTCTATTCAAAGTCATCCCTCTGCTCACTGAGATAGATGCATATTCTGATTGCCTCCTTTGGAAAGGCTTATTAGAAACTCAAAAGAATGCAACCATTTTCTCTTACCCACCTGTGACCTGGAAGCCCCTCCTTGCTTTGAGTTTGTCCTTGCCTTTCTGGGTGGAGCTAATGTGCTTCTTACACATATTAGTTCATGTCTCATATACTAAACCTAAAATCTGTAAAACCAAGCTGTGCCCTGACCACCTTGGGCACATGTCAGGACTTCCTGTGGCTGTGTCACGGGTGTGCATCCTCAACCCTGGCAAAATAAACTTTCTAAATTAACTGAGACCTGTCTCAGATTTTCTGGGTTTACACTTCCTTGGTGAATCCCAACAGGATCTCTTAGATGATCCACTTGAAGAGCAGGTATTTACTCACCACTTTGTTTCCTCTCTGTGACAGTCACACATGCTAGCAGCTTCTAGTCAATTATCTTGAACTGGAACTGCTCTATACTTATACGTTGTTAATAGGTATAGAAAAATTTCTATTTAAAATGTGCACCATGAGTTTCACTACTACCATGACAGTATGAGGAGTACTGCAAACTCACTGTACAGAAAACTGGTAAAAATTATTCTTTTTTAAAAATAAAACATTTAAGGTCTCTAGAATTGATCTTAAAGGTATACGGGAAAGGAAGAAACATTTATTTGAGAATATCTACTAAAACAGTAAGAACAGATAAAATCTGTGGTATTTGAGCTATTAGGTTGGCTCAAAAGTAACTGCGGTTTTTGCTGTTACTTTCAATGGCAAAAACCGCAATTACTTTTGTGCCAATCTAATACATCTGTTAAAGTATGTAGTCAGACAAGAATAGGGTAGGAAAGAGCCCCCACCCTGCCCCCTTCTCCTCCACCCCCCGACCCAAGAATGTTGGGCATTTGTCAAGCCATGGTCAGGCAATTATAAATGTCCCTCTGAAATGATGAGCAGGACAAGGGAGGAACTCCAGAACTGTCTGGTTTCCATTGAGTGAAAAAGAGGTAGGCATAAAACTGTTCCTCTGAGATAATAAGTGGCCATGACTGGTGCCGGGAATGACAGGATTCTTGCAACAGACAGAAGACACCTGGAGTTAGCAAGTCATAATTCCTGATGAAGATTCAAGCATGAGGGCAATACCATTCAGGATATAGGCATGGGCAAGGACTTCATGTCTAAAACACCAAAAGCAATGGCAACAAAAGCCAAAATTGACAAATGGGATCCAATTAAACTAAAGAGCTTCTGCACAGCAAAAGAAACTACCATCAGAGTGAACAGGCAACCTACAGAATGGGAGAAATTTTTTGCAATCTACTCATCTGACAAAGGGCTAATATCCAGAATCTACAAAGAACTCAAACAAACTTACAAGAAAAAAACAACCACATCAACAAGTGGGCAAAGGATATGAACAGACACTTCTCAAAAGAAGACATTTATGCAGCCAACAGACACATGAAAAAATACTCATCATCACTGATCATTAGAGAAATGCAAATCAAAACCACAATGAGATACCATCTCACAACAGTTAGAATGGCGATCATTAAAAAGTCAGGAAACAACAGGTGCTGGAGAGTATGTGGAGAAATAGGAACACTTTTACACTGTTGGTGGGACTGTAAACTGGTTCAACCATTGTGGAAGACAGTGTGGCGATTCCTCAGGGATCTAGAACTAGAAATACCATTTGACCCAGCCATCCCATTACTGGGTATATACCCAAAGGATTATAAATCATGCTGCTATAAAGACACATGCACACGTATGTTTATTGCGGCACTATTCACTATAGCAAAGACTTGGAACCAACCCAAATGTCCAACAATGATAGACTGGATTAAGAAAATGTGGCACATATACACCATGGAATACTATGCAGCCATAAAAAAGTATGAATTCATGTCCTTTGTAGGTACATGGATGAAGCTGGAAACCGTCATTCTCAGCAAACTATCACAAGGCCAAAAAATCAAGCACGGCATTTTCTCACTCATAGGTGGGAATTGAACAATGAGAACATATGGACACAGGAAGGGGAACATTACACACCGGGGACTGTTGTGGGGTGGGGGGAGGGGGGAGGGATAGCATTAGGAGATATACTTAATGTAAATGACGAGTTAATGGGTGCAGCACACCAACATGGCACATGTATACATATGTAACAAACCTGCACGTTGTGCACATGTACCCTAGAACTTAAAGTATAATTAAAAAAAAAAGCAAGATGATGGGATTTGACCAGTACATGACCTTCCTCTGGGGACATTGGACCAGTAAGGGAGAATTGACCCAAATGAGCATGTGTATGAGTTCCGTAAACACACTGTGCATGCGGCCCCTCCCAAGTGCTGTCAGGGACACTGCACATGCAGTAATTAAGTGACAACTCACCCAGGGGGAAGAACAGGGAAGAGACAGAGCCCAGGAAAAGATAGGGGGTATAAAAACTCTAAACAAAGAGGTGGATGAGGCATTTGATTTTTTTTTTACAAGTTTCGTGCTTGTCCCTCATCTAAGTGTACTCTGGTTTCTCAAGCAAACCCTCATTTTGCTTAAAATGAATTCTCCCTTCTACTTTAAACCTTGTCTGTGTCTGCTGAGACCAGCTCAGTCATGGAGACCCAACCCAGCGGCACTAGAGGAATTAAAGACACACACGAATTAAAGACACACACACAGCAATATAGAGTGTGGAGTGGGAAATCAGGGGACTCACAGCCTTCAGAGCTGAGAGCCCCGAACAGAGATTTACCCACGTATTTATTGACAGCAAGCCAGTGATAAGCATTATTTCTATAGATGATAGATTAACTAAAAGTATTGCTTACGGGAAACAAAGGGATGGGCTGAAACAAAGGGATGGGCTTTGGCTAGTTATCTGGAACAGGAACATGTCCTTAAGGCACAGATCGCTGGTGCTATTGTTTGTGGTTTAAGAATGCCTTTAAGCGGTTTTCTGCCCTGGGTGGGCCAGGTGTTCCTTGCCCTCATTCCGGTAAACCCACAACCTTCAGCGTGGGCATCGTGGCCATCACAAACATGTCACAGTGCTGCAGAGATTTTGTTTGTGGCCAGTTTTGGGGCCAGTTTATGGCCAGATTTGGGAGCCTATCTCCAGCATGTGTGTTTCCTTTGAATTCTTTCCTTGGAAAAGAAAAAGGACAGAGATAGCTGCAGACTCACCTGCGGGTAACATACTGTTGTAACATACTGGGATATGCTATCTAGTGGTAAGATGCTGCAATGCCTCACCTTCTTTGGCTAGAAGCATTCAAACTCTTGTAGGTGGTCTCTCCTCCTTTCTCTTTTTTCCTTTTTGTCTCCCACTCATTTCTTTTCCTTCCTTTCCCCTTTTTCCTCCTTCTACTTGTTTCTTTTTTTTCACTTCACTTTTTCTTTCTCCTACTTACTAACTCTTCTGCAGGACAATTCCCCTTAGCTACAGCGGCTCTGCTCCCTCCAGCTGATTTCTCAGCTCATCTTGGAGGTGATTCCCAGAGGTGGGTGGACTTTAGGCTCCAGACCCTGCAGACCTCAACTACTGTGCCTCTCCTGACAGGAGGCTTGCAAGGGTAGCAGGTTTAAGCCTGGGCTGTGCAATGTCTGGGGTACTTCCCTTTTCTCCTTCAACTAAAATCAACTCTTTCCCGAAACCCACACCTGTGTCATCTATTCTCTTGTGCTCTTTTATGTGTCCTCTGAAATGACCACGCACACTAACTGAACTATTTGCCTCAGGGGAAAGTCAGCCTCTTTTCCACTCTCACTTTGTGTGCCATGCGAGTTATTTTCCTACTTCAAACCTACACTCCTTGTTTGCCATTTGTGTGCTTGTGGCCTTTGCTGTGTCTTCCTGGCAGCCAAGAGGCAGACACCTTTACTGGTGTCCCTTGATATCTACACTTGCTTTTATCCCTCCAGTCTGGATGATCTCCAGCCTATCCCCTGCCTCTTGGCTCACTGTCAAAATAAGCACTTCTCAGAGCCCTGGCTCTATCAACTACTGATTACTTACTATCTTTACTTACCATTCTTTATCCCCAGCAAGCTCCAGGAATTAGTATTCTGCTGGTCCTTAAAGAGGTTTATCCACTTTGACATAGCCTCCAATTGTGGTCCTTTAAGGACACCCCCTACCTCAATTCTGGGGGTAGTTCCTTTTTGGGAAAAGAGAACATTTTTCCTGCACCTAGTAAGACTCTTTATTCCAAACTCCCTGGTTCTCCAGAGGTTTCTCCTTTTTATCAAAAATGCGAACAAGCACTGCCCACTAGGGACCAGAGGCTGCTGTTTCTGTGAAAGCACAAGGGCTTTCCATGAATATCCACCAGGCTTCCTTACCTATCCACCTGTTAGACAGTGATTGTCCTGATTGTTTAAACACTTCTTTTTCATGTTGCTAACAGAGGATGGAATTTTCCTACCTTCTTCTGAACCTCTCCATGTCATTCTCAAAATGCAGAAAGATCTCCAAGCCTACGTACAAAAAAAAAAAAAAAAAAGCCCAGCCTCTTTGGAGCTTGAAAGGGAATAGGACATCTACCTAAAAGGACCTGGGGAATGGAAGCATGAGAGGATGGGAAATCATCATTTAATTGTTAAGATGCTCCAGATGGGGGTCACTGCAAGGTAAGGGAGGCAGGGATATACGCCCACCCATGGCTGCAGGTGCAAGATACCAAAGTACCCATAGAAGAGAGGTGAAGGCTGGTCCCAGGCTACAGCACAGAACAGATTACCATTAAAACAGAGATGAAGAAAAGGTTTGTGGTACTCAGTAACACCAGTTTATTCTGGGGCCCAAAGGATAAATAGAGGGCCCTTGTTCATTCCCATATACCCTCTGTTCTGTAGTGGGTAATTGTGCCTCCATAAGATGATATGGCACCAAGATTAAGGGTACCTGGTGAGATGGGTTTATTCAAGAACTTCAAATACAAATGGGGGATGCTCTGTTCAGGAAAAGATAATAAGGATATAAGAGGGGCCACCTACTTTTTCCTTTTTCTCCTCTATTCTCTCTTCACAGTTGGGTAATTGCATCTCCATACCACAGGACATACCCCTTGGATGCATCCTTAAGGAATTGAAAAATGTGATTCCCTAAAACCGTATAATAACAAGGAAAAACTAGCTTTAATTTGTAATACAGTTTGGCCTAAAATAAACTGGAAAAAATTACAAAAGCCAGCCTAAAACCCCAGACCCCCTATGTAGGAGATCCTCAAGTTAGCCTCTGCAGCCTTTTATAACCAAGAGCAAAATAAGAAGGATAAGGCTAAAGAGAAGGAAACCTGCAGGGACAAGAGGCAGGCTCAACTATTGGGTACTGTACAAGCCCTCTAGCCCTCTCCAGGTTGCCCTCAGGACATTCTGACAGAAAACTTCCATCTGTGCAAAAAGCAAGGCCACTGGAAAGTAAACTGCCCCAATGGGCTAAATGGGAAAAATCCCCACAAGGTCTGCTCCCTCTACCACAAACTTGACTACTGGAAAAAGGAATGTCTTGAGAGCCAAAAGGGACCTTGGGCCAGATCCCAATCCAATAAGGGCCTTAAGCTGAAGGGGCCCTCTGCTCCAGCCAGCTCCCAAATCAGACACCATCATTTACAGGACAAAGCCAAGGGCAATTCTGGAGGTGGCAAATAAAATTATAAATTTCCAGGCTGGGCATGGTGGCTCAAGCCTGTAATCCCAGCACTTTGGGATGCCAAGGCAGGAGGATCATTTGAGGTCAGGAGTTCCAGACCAGCCTGGCTAATGTGATGAAACCCCGTCTCTATTAAAAATACAAAAAGTAGCCGGGCATGGTGGCATGCACCTGTAATTGCAGCTACTCAGGAGGCTAAGGCAAGAAAGTCGCTTGAACCGAGGAGGTGGAGGTTGCTGTGAGCCAAGATTGCACAATTGCACTCCAGCCTGGGCAACAGAGTGAGACTCTGTCTCAAAAAAAAAAAAAAATTATAAATTTCCCTTTTGGGTTCAAGAGCTGCCTACTTTGCTAATCTCCAGCTCTAAGAAACTCTCCTCCAAATCCTGTTGGGTAATATGAGCAAATGGCAGCTGCTACCTCCAAAAGAAAATATTCTCACCCCTTTATATTAGTTAAGGGACCAATTATTAATCTCTCACTATTCCCTGGTAATGCCTAAATGCCCCACACACCTTTGGGCAAAAATATATGTCCATGATGGGTGCCTGATTAATATTCACCCAACCTCTAAATTTATCTTTCCCTCTAATATTGTTTTTCCTGGGAAAACTACATAAATCTTTAACCAATAACTTCAACCTGGACAGTCCCACTTCAGGAGTTTAAAAATAGCCCACATGTATTCAAACAAACCCTAGCAAGAAATCTAACCAAGTAATCGCTTGAGGGGGGATAACAGTGTGTAGATAACCTCCTTATCTGCTCCCTGTTCAAAGGACTTGATTGGCAACATGTAGTACAAACCATAACTTCCTAACAGAAGGAAAATGACTTTTGTCTAATTCAAACTTTATGAAAGTAAAGAGGTAGTTTTAATAAGGAAGGTTATAAAGAAAAGAGATTTTTGTATAAGAAAAGATCTTGCATGGTAAATTCTTGTCCTAAAGTAAAATAACTGGTTGTTTAAAAAAGAAAGATGTTTAGGACAGGTTATAAAGTCCATGCATGTCGTAGATGGTCTATGTAATTCATAAAAAATTTGTGAAAGGAAATTTATAAAAGGAATGTTGTATGTAATTAAGGCATAATTAGTCTCTTTAAAATTGGTTTCCTATGTTAAAAAAAGGTTGTCTTAAAGTATTAATCTGCTCTTAATAAAATTACAAGATGTTTTAATTTTTATTTCATAAACCGTTTCTTTTAACGATTCCCCAGAATCATATATGGCCCGATGCTAAATTGTTTTACCTAAAAAAGCAATGTTTTTATCCAATATAACTGAATTCTGTACTCTTGACTTTTGTTAATATGTCTACATTTTCAACGTAACCAAAAAACTTCTCATGCTATTCCTAAGAGTCATGTATTCTGCTGTACTAATATTTTGAACATACTCTTGCTGTATCTAATTAAATTCAAACACTTTTCACCAAATTTAACTTTCAGGTTATCTGATTGGGCTTTCCATAAGGAAAAACAGTCACACTGCAAAAGGTTTTTCTTTGCCTTTTCAGCAACTGACTTTTTAAAAACAAGATTTTATATTCACTATGTTGTCTTTATAAGGTTTTTGGTTGTGAGAAAAACTTTAATGCCTTTTAGTTCACATGACTTTAATAATCTTTGGTAAATGAAAACAATTTTAAAGGTTATTAGGTCTACAAAATTCTTTAAAGTCATAAACTGATACAGTGACTCTTAATAACAGTACAACTTGCCTGCTTTAAAGCCATTAAATTCTAGGCAAGACCTGAGAACATATGGAGTTAGCCATGCCCCCAGCTATGCTAAAAAGAAGTCAGATCTTTATTTTGTTTTGTCATCTCTACTTGTCTTAAAACCTGAGATGCATTCTATATTTGCAGCCAATAAGTTCACCAGGGCCTCCCCCCTAGCTAAACTGGAACTTGAACCATAGACTGTATATCCCCAGACATCTACATAGCCCATGGCAATCTCTTCTAGTATCAATCTAGGGGCATTCCATCTTGCCCAAGGTGAAGAGAGCTTGCGAAAGTTAAAGGAGAATATTAAAATATAGAAAAACCTCCAAAAAGTAGAACCCTAAGGCTCTTTTCTAGTCCAGATCTTTAAAATATTTGCCAGTTGTATATGGCCATGGACAGCCTCAATCCTTCCTCCTATAGTTATGTTTATATTAATTTGCCATTTGACCCCATGCCTGCTTAACACCCTCACCCTTATCATTTCTTCTAAAATCCAGCAATTTCAGACCAAGCTTCTAATGCTACAGAGATATTCACCTCTATCTTTAGACAGGTACAAAAACATGCCTCTGTCTTCCCTGTATTTGGTTGGACACCACTTTTGCCAGCCTATGAATGGAGTCACACTTCCCTAACAGCTAGCAAGATGCTGAGACCCATGGGATGATCCCCACCACTCTGTCACCAAGAAGTAGTTATGGAAAACAATCATCCATTGCCCTAAAGAATTGGGTCCCAGATGTTTGAGGGAGGCCCATGTAAGAGTAAGTAGTTAGGCATGAGCAGGACAGGACAGAAGCTCCCCACGTGAATGTTAGGCCTTTGTCAAGCCGTGGTCAGGCAATTATAAATCTGTCCCTCTGAAATGATGAGCAGGACAAGGGAGGAACCCCAGAGCTGTCTGGTTCTCATCAGCTTATTATGAGTTGTCTGACTCATAATAAGTAGCCATGACTGGCACTGGGAATGAGAGGAGTCTTGCAACAGATGGAGAACAACTGGAAATAGCTAGCCATAATTCCTGATAATGTTTCAAGCATGTGCAGTAAAAGAGGAAGGTGGTAGAATTTTATTACTACCTGACTCTCCTCTTGGGGCACTTAACCAGTAAGGAACAATTGTCCCTAATGAGCATGTACATGACTTCAGTAAGCACACTGTGCATATGGCCCCTCCCAAGTGCTGGCAGGCCATTGTCATGTGACAATTAAGCAACAGACCACCCAAAGAAAGAACAAAGGGAGCAGACAGAGCATGGGAAAAGATAGGGGGTATAAAAACTCTAAACAAAGAAGCAAACAAGGTACTTGATTTTTTAAGTCACCCACTTGTCCCTCATCTAAGTGCACTCTGCTTTCTCTAATAAACTCTTACTTTGCTTGAAGTAAATTATCCCTCCTGATTGAAACTTTGCCTGTGTCTCTTGTCTGAATTATTTTCTTCAAGAAGAAAATGGACTGGGATTGCTGCAGAGTTGCCAATCCAGAGCTCCTCCAGATAGCTGCAGACCCACCTGCTAGTTACAGATTCATCAACTCCTTTCTACTTCCCAGCTCACCAAGAGAAAATCTCCATTTCAGTCTACTGCAGGCAAAAGCACAGTGATCTCTCTGCTAGAGGGCTGTCTTCCTGGGAGGAACAGGATGTTAGCATTTCTCATCCTTACTCTAGATACCTGTTGTTGAGTCTACATTCTAGACAACTGCAGGAAAGTGGTGGGTGTTTTAACTTAGCTTAGATATGTGGGACAGGAATTGTACTTCAGGTGTGGGGCTGCAGAGAATACTAGGCCCCTAACTGCCTTATCCTTGGCTCATATAGTAGAGGTTCTATGTGGGGAGAAGCAAGTCAAGATAAACTGAAGCTATCCCACTTCCTTGAATGAGCTTCACCTCTTAAACAGAGAGAAGCATGCTATCATACCCAACTTCATGTCCAGATCTGTGACTCCAAAGTTTTTCCTGGGAAAGAAACAGGCTATAAAATAGGAAACTCTGGGTCACTTCCCCAAAAAAACAGACTTCATTTGCAGAAAGGTGTGGAGAATTTCAAGCCTAATGGTCTCAAAAACAATGGAGGTTATGGTAAAAAATAAGATTCATTGGGTATGTATGCTAAACTGTAAGGGGCTAGTTTTTCAGAAAGAACCAAGAAAAGAGATAGCTAAGGAGAGCCTTTCTGAATCAGAACAAATCTCAAAAACTGACCTTGAAAACCGTCTCTTAAAAGAAAAAAAAACATGATTCATTTTTATCATCTATGAAGCAATTTATGTCCCAAAGCATTGATTAAAAAAAAATAAAAGAATCAGCTGGCATTTTATGGAGTTTAATAGGTCAGTATGGTCAGTGAAAAACACAAAGAGAGGTCTTCCAATCCCATTGTCTTTTCAGGATGACTATGGGCATGTCCAAAGCAGGATCCTCTGAGGAGCATCATTGTAGCCTTCAGCTTATGTGGGGATGAAGAGAATTCATCAAAATAATCCTGCCAGTTACTAAACAGATTAACAAACCAATAAAGATAACACACTCTGGAGTGGGGACACCAAGACTCAGAGTTGCTAGAATATATTACCTCATATTTCCACTTCCTGAGAAATAAGTTATGAGGCATGTAAAGAAACAGAAATATATGATGCATGCACTGGAAAGAATGCAAGCAACAGAAACTGCCTATGAAAATGGGTGAATATCATATTTGACAGACTTCAATGTATACGTGATTTTAAAAGTACTTCAATGTATGATGACAATATTTCATCAAACAATATCATAAAGGGGAGAAAATTATATATAAAATAATACAAATTATGGATTTTAAAAATAAAATAACCAATAAATTATTTATTAAAAGGAATAAAGGGTAGATATAAGCTGACATAAAAATAATTCACAGATTTAAAGGTAAATTAATAGAGATAATGCAATGAAAATAACAGGGTAAACAAGAATGAACAATTCACGAAAATGAGCAGAGACTCCCAGAAATGTGGGACAGCATTAAATAGTCCAACATACACATATTGCGAATACCAAAAAAAAGGAAAAAAAAAAGAGAAGAAAAGTCATTCCAAAAATTAATGACCAAAAATTTCTGAAATTTATTGAAAAGCTTTAATCTACATAAACAGGAATCTCAACAAACTCCAAGTAGGATAAATACCAAAAAATCCACAAATCAACACATTATGGTAAAAATGCTGAAAGCCAAAGACAAAATCTGTAAAGCATCAGAGAACAATAACTCATTACTTACAAGAAATCCCCAAAAAGATGAAAAGCGCTGGCTTTTTATAAGGAACGATGAAGAGCAGAAGGCAGTGGGATCACATATGCAGAGTCTAAAAAAAAGCCTATTGAACAAGAACCCTATATCCAAAAAATTATCCTTTAAGAATGAAAGCAAAAGGAATTTAAAAATGCATAAAACAAAAACTAACCCAAGTAAAGGGAGAATTAGCCATTTCTCCCCATAATAGATGGATATTTTAATACCCGACATTCAATAATGAATAGAACAACTAGGCAGATGACAAACAAGGAAACAATACTTGAACAACATGATAAACCAAATGGAACTAACAGACATTTATCGAACACTTAAAAACAGAAGAATACACATCTTTCTCAAGGGCACACAGGACATTCTTAGAATAGGCCTTATGATAAGTCATTAAATAAGCTTCCATAAATTTTAATGGATTAAATTAATATAAAAAAGTTCTATGACCACAATTGAATGAAATTTAAAAATCTATAAAAGAAGAAGTTTTGAAAGCTCTCTTATATGGAAATTAAACAACACACTTTGAAATAACAAACAGGTAAAAGAAGAAATTGAAAACAAAATTATAAAATACTTAGATATGTAAAAAATTGAAGGTATAACATAATACTTATTGTACATGGTTAAAGCAGTATTTAAAGGGAAATTTATAATAGTAAATTCTTATCTTAAAATAAACACAAAGCTCTCAAATTAGTCACCTAACTTTCCACATTATGACACTAGAAAAAGAAAATAAAATATAAATCAAGCAGAAGTAATAAAAAATAAAAGTTAAAGCAGAAATGAAAAAAGAGAATGCAAAATTAGATAAAAATCAAAGAATTCAATAGCTAGTTTATTTAAAAAGTTAAATAAATTGGGAAGCTAATAAATATATAGATGAAGAAGAAAGAAAATTACTAGATTCCAAAACAAAAGAGAGGATATTACTACTGACTTTAGAGAATAAAAGACTAAAGAGGAATGCTATGAACAAATATGTGAAAATAATCTGTAATATTATGTTTACCATAATTTTTATTTCTTGGTGTTGTAAAACTATAAGATCTGATTTTCAAAGAGAAGCAAACATATTTATATTTTTAAAATTCCAAAATACTGTTTTGTCAATCCTTTATTGCAATATAATTCACACGTGATAAAGTATACAATCAATTTTAGATGACTTTTACCACATCAGAAAAAAGGCCTATACCTTTTAGCTATTACACCTTAGTTCCCAGCTCTAAGCAAACAGTAACTACTTTTTGCCTCTCTAGATTTGTCTATGGTAGACATTTTCTATTAGCAGTATCATACAATATGTGGTCTTCTGTAAGATAATTATTTCATTTTGAATAATGTTTCCAAGGTTAATCCACATTGTAACCTATATTAGTAGTCCATTCCATATTTATGACCAAATAATATTCCAATGTATGGATGTGGCAAATTTTGTTTATTTGTCAGTTGATATATATTTGGTCTATTTACATCATTGAATATTGTTAATACTGCTATAAACATGTGTGATTATATATATATATATATATATTCATTTATCTTGGGTTTACAGCTAAGTGTGGAATTGCTGGATCACATGGTAACACTATAGATAACAATTTGAGGACTCCCAGACTATTTTCAAAAGTGGCTGCACCTTTTATATTCCCCATCATCAGTGTATGAGGGTCTTCTTTATCAATGTTCTTGTTAACATGTGGTGCTATCTGACTTTTTGTATATAGAAATTGCAGTGAGTGTAATGTAGCATCTCACTGTGGTTTTGATTTGCATTTACCTGATGACTAAATCTTATTGACCATTTGTGTCATCTTTTTTGGAGAAATATTTATCCAGGTCCTTTGCCCAAATTTTAATTGAGTTGTCCTTTTGTTATTTAGTTGTACGTATTCTTTACATATTAAAATATAAATCCTTTGTCAAATGCGTGACCAAAAATATTTTGTGCTATTTTGTAGGCTTTTTTTAACTTTGTAGTGTCCTTTGAAGCATAGAAATTTTTAATTTTGATAAAATGCAATTTATCTAATTTTTCCTTTTGTTTCTTGTGTTTTTCTTGTCATACCTAAGAATCTATTGCCAAATCCAAGGTCACAAAGAATCACCCCTATGCTTCTACTAAAAGTTTAGTTTTAGAACTTACATTTAGGTTTTAAGTCTATTTGTTGAAAGGATTATTTTTTCCACATTAATAGTGTTAGCACCATTTGGGAAATAGTTTTGGCTTGCTAATGGCCCTTAGTGGAAACTGAATACTTAACCATGAACCTATAAGTTTTCATGGAATCTAAGCTTTCCATCATAAACTGTAAATAATATACGCAGGCCCTGAAGGCATAATTAAGTTACATAAAACATGATCCAAATGTCCATAGTCCCTATTCTTGCTACATTACCTTCTCTATTCCATCCAATACCTATGTTTGATTGGAGTTTTCTACAATCAGCTGATTGAGGAAGAGAAAACTTGGGCTGCTTTACGGGTGATTCTGAGCAATATGTAAGTATCAACCAAAAGTGGGCAGCTGCAACAGTATAGCCCTTTTCTAAGACATCCCTGAAGGAGAAGATGAAAGACAATCCTCACAGTGAGTAAAACTTTGGGCAGTGTGCCTGATTGTTCACTTTTCCTGGGATAAGAAATGCACTTTCATGTGATTGCATATTTATTCATGGGTTCTAGCCAGTAGACTGGCTGTATGATCATGAAATTAGAAGGAACATGATTGGAAAAATTTGTGAAGTCTGAGAAAGAGGTATGCGAATAATCTTCTCTGAATGGGAAAAATGCATAAAAATATTTGTATTTCATAGGAATGCTTACCAAAGAGTGACCTTGGAAAAAGAGGATTTTAATAATCAAGGGATTTAATGACCCATTCTATGAATACAAGTCAGCCTCTGTTCTCAGACACTGCTGTCATTGCCCAATAGGCTCATCAACAAAGTGGCCGTGGTGGCAGGGATGAAAGTATTGTATGAGCTCAGCAAAATGGACTTCCACTGACCAAAGCTAACCTGGTTACAGCCACTTCCAAGCGCCCAATATGCCAGCAGCATAGAACACTGAGAATCTAATAGGGCACCATTTACCAGGATGATGCGCCAGCTTGGTAGCAGATTGATTACACTGGACTACTCTCATTATGGAAATGTTAGCACTTTGTTCTTACTGATAAAAATGCTTACTCTGGGTATAGATTTGTCTTCCCTGAACACAATGCTTCTATCAAAAATATCCTTGCACTTACAGAATGCCATATACCCAGTCAAAATATTCCTGATAGTGTTAGGAGTAGAAGGTATTCGAGTTACCAGTGTGAAATCCATGAGTCTGCAACAACCTCAATTCTTGCCTCCTCAGAAGAAATAATTTGACTAAGGAGCATAGGGCATAAAAACAGCCTGAAGCAAGTTTCAAAGCAAGAGAGGAAGTTTATTTTTAAAAGCTCTAGAGCAGGATAGAAAGGAAAGTACACTTGGAAGAGGCCCAAGTGATCAACTTCAAGGAGAAGTGTGGCATTTAACCTTGATTCTCGGACTTTATATGTTGGCCCACTCCCAGTGTCTTGCACCCCTTTCCCATGATTTCAGAGATTCTTCCCTTAGGGTGGGATGCCCATATGGGCAGTGTCCTTCTTATGCTTGGGAAGTGAGCATGTGCAGTGTGTTTAGGAAGTGTTTTTCTTTTTCTTTTTCTTTTTTTTTTTTTTTTTTTTGAGACAGAGTCTCACTCTGTCACCCAGGCTGGAGTGCAGTGGCACGATTTTAACTCACTGCAAGCTCCGCCTCCCGGGTTCATGCCATTCTCCTGCCTCAGCCTCCCGAGTAGCCGGGACTACAGGCGCCCGCCACCACACCCGGCTAATTTTTTGTATTTTTAATAGAGACGGGGTTTCACCGTGTTAGCAAGGATGGTCTCGATCTCCTGGCCTCGTGATCCGCCCGCGTCGGCCTCCCGAAGTGCTGGGATTACAGGCATGAGCCACCGCGCCCGGCCAGAAGTGTTTTTATCTGTTTGGGAAGTTGCCTCTCCCTGGCACCTGCACTGAATTAGCACTTTAGTGTGACAGTTGTGAACCATCAGGAGATTGTCTTTCCTTGGCACTGGCTGCCAAATTATCATTTTAGAGAGGCAATATAGTAACTGCCAAACCATCACCTGATGGTCACCTGACATTCCTGATGGGTGTCGGGGAAGAGCCCTCTCATGTCCCACTCATGCCTGTCTAACTACTGTGTGGCTTTTGTAGTTCGACGAGTGGAGGGAAATGGCACTCAGCAGTTTTTTCTTCCCATTGCTCAGCGAGCAGGAGGAAGGGTTACAGTGTTACAGTGTTCCTTCAGTGCCACTTCACCAGCCGGAAATCTCCACGGCTGCCATGACTTCTGCCTGGGCCCTTGCTCAGGCTGGCCAGTCTCACTACACCCTCTCAGTCCGACAGGCTGCACTTGGCTTGCACCCTGGCCCAGATCCTGTGCCCACTGCAGGATCCATGGTCAGCCTGTGGCTGGATCAGGCATGGTGCAAGCAGCCTCTGCATTGGGTGCTGGTGTTTAAATAAGGGGAACATGGTGGTGCCTGAAAACTTGGAGATGCCAGCAACCATGGAGCCCCAAGGGTTGTTACAGCTCTTGCCCGGGGAGTCCAGAGGTCTAATCCCCCAAGAAATGCTACAGCTCTTGCTCATTCCTGCTGTGTGTCACAGCTCTTTCGGTCCCACCGCCCACAGCTCCACAAATGGGGGTGTTTTATAGCTCATTTGGTCCGCTGCCTGCAGCTTGGCAAGTTCCAGGTTTTTGTCCCATGAACAAAAGGAGTAAGGTATGCAACACGGAAGAGTGAGTAGGGCAAAGAATTTTATTGAGCCGACAGAAGGAAAGCTCTCACCGGAGAAGGGACCCAAGAGCAGGTAGCACTCTGTGTGAGAGGGGACCTAAAAGTGAGTAGCCGTCTGTGTGGCTGAGTCCAAGGTTTTCATGGGCTCAGAATAGCGGAGTGCATGTTGATGGCCCATGGGTGGGCCTGGAAAAAGCACCATTTGATTGGCTAAAAGGCATCAAGGAAGTTCTCACTCCAGTCATGGACTCTTCCTGGAACTGGCAGCTCAGTTTTCAGGATTTAAACTGTCTTTGGCTTGAAGATTGGGTTTCACTGGGGAAACATCCCTGTCTGCCTAGGAATTTGTCTGTCTCCTGCTGCCATCAATTTTCCCTCCAAAGAGGTACATCTAACTGCCATTAGGATAGGGATGGTGACTGCTCTAACTGCTTCTTGCTGATGGGGGCATTATTTTGTAAAAATGGCAGTCATCTCTCTCTCAGAGGCCTAGCTAAGGGTCCCTGGTAAAAGGGAGTCATCATCTGAGGCTCTATTTGCATAACCATTTAATGGCCTCTAGGTGAGGAGAGAGATTTTACAAGGTTAAATATGCATGGACCAAATATGAGTATTATACAAAGAGAAGCCAAAAGGGCAAAAAATCTAGTGCCAAAGAAAACAGAAATAAGAAGTAAAAGAGACTAATCATTCTGAAAACAATGTTGTGGCCAGAGCTGTTTTAACTTGGTGAAAGA
This sequence comes from Homo sapiens, assembly GCF_000001405.40. Lineage (NCBI taxonomy): Eukaryota > Metazoa > Chordata > Mammalia > Primates > Hominidae > Homo > Homo sapiens. The sequence goes on from NC_000023.11 coordinate 89,988,247, forward strand.
AATTAAATCTGGTATGCAGGAGGGCAGTTAAACTTTAGAAGGTAGATAGCTATTTAGGGAAGTAGTAATCCCTGGGCATTCAGGATTAAGGGGTCCTTGGCAAAGATACCTTATGGTAAAGAACAGAACAAAGGCAAGAACAGCGAGCACAGGTGAGACTGTAAAGAGAGTATTCATGGAAGGTTAATAATTATTGACATTTATCTTTTGTGATTTTTAGCTTGAGGTCTCCAATTTCTTCACACTGGTGCTCTGGGTGCTCTTCTGTGTCAACAGAGGTAATTCTGTGTTTCCCAGGCCTTTACTCAACTATAATGAATCCAAAAATCTATTCCAGTGACCCTTACTGCCAAAGGAGTAGAAACAAGTACAGTGTACATTCCTTCCCAATATAGGCCTAGAGAGGGAGAAAGGGAAGGAAGTGCCTTTACCAGTACTGAGTCCCCTGGGTTGAATAGACATGGTCCTAGTTCACAGAGTTGGGCCTCCAACAGTTGTTTCAGTTCCTGTTTGAAATGGGCCAAAGAAGTTACATGTTTCATCAGTGTAGAGGCATCAGAGGTTTCTTGGACTAGCAAGAAATCATTGGTGAGAAAATCCCGTTCATATATCCCTTTTTTTTTTTTTTTTTGAGATAGGGTCTCACTCTGTGGCCCAGGCTGGAGTGCAGTGGCATGATCTTGGCTCTCCGCAACCTCCACCTTCTGGGTTAAAGCAATTCTCATGACTTAGCCTCCCAAGTAGCCGGAACTACAGTTGTGAGCCACCACACCTGGCTAATGCTTTTTATTTTTAGTAGAGATGGGGTTTCACCATGCTGGCTAGTCTGATCTCGAACTCTGACCTCAAGTGATCTGCCCACTTTGGCCTCCCAACGTGCTGAGATTACAGGCATGAGCCACCGTGCCCGGCCCATGTATTTTTTTCAAAGGGGTTTAATCCCAATTTTGAAGGGATGTCCCTAACACATAGTAGGAACATGGAAAGAAGAGTAATCTAGAGGAAATGAATCTCTTGAGACAGATTTTTGAGGTGTCTTTCGATAATATAATTCGTCTTTTCTAGGTCTCCTAAGGATTGTGGTCTATAAGCAAAATAAAGATAGTATTATATTCCTAGTGCCTTTGAGACCCCCCTCTGTGACAGCTGTCTTGAATAAAGGGCCATTATCACTGTGGAAGTATTTAGGGAGTCCAAAGTGAGGAATTATTTCATTAATTAGTCCTTTTATCACCTCAGAGGCTTTCTCTATTTGACTTGGAAATGTTTCTACCCAGTTAGTTCCACAAAAGTCTTTAAAGAGTCCAGTCTGGGTTTTCTAAGGGGGTTTCTTTGAGGTTCTCTCTGGCCACATAGGTTTGCACTACTATCTGTTCACATCCCATTCAAGCTCCCCAGCTTTCTCTGGGAGAAAGGTGGCTGGGTTTAGGGAGGGACAGCTTCTGAACTGGACCATAGATCCCTCTAATAGCAGCGCTTGATAATTGAGAAGGTTGATGTCCATTAGCCAGAGACTGCCTTCCTGCCACATTATGTGGGATATAAACAGTTAAGTTATTCCTCACGGTTAACTTAGTAGCCTCTGGTACCAGCAAGGCTGCTGCTGCAACTGCCCAGAGGCAGGCTGGTCATTCTTTAGCTACCAACACAAGCTCCTTGCTTAGGTAGCCTACAGGATGCTGGGCTGGACCTTGGGCCTGGGTTAGAACTCCCAGGGCCATTCCTTTCCTTTCTGGTATGTAAAGATTGACCATCTGTCTAAGGAAAGACTAAGGGTCAGTGCCTCAAGCAAGGCTTGTTTCAATTAGTCAAAGGCCCTTTTAGCCTCTGGTTCCTAAATTAGGGAGTGAGTCTTAGCTGCTTGAGTTTCCTTTAATAGGTGATATAAGGGATAAGCTATCTCACTGTACCAAGGAATGCATAATCTGAAGAATCCTGTAATGCCCAAGAATCCCCTCAGTTGCTCGATGGTTTTGGGAAGGGAAAAGGAGGAGATGGGCTTAATCCTTTCTTTGCCTAGCACCCTTGTCCCCTCTAACAAGATTAGACCTAGGCACTATACTGAATTCTGACAGAGCAGAGCCTTAGATTTTGAGACCTTATATTCTCCATTAGCCAGAAAATTAAGAAGAGCCTTACTGCCCTCCTGAAAATTTCCTCAGTTGGGGCACAGAAGAGAATGTCACCTACTCATTGTAAAACTTTAACCTGAGGATAAAGGAACCCTCAGAGATCTTTTGACACTGCCTCCCCAAACAGGTGGGAGCTGTCTCAGAATACCTCAGGTAACACCATCCAGGTTAGCTGGGTGGTATGGTTGGAGAGATTCTTGAATTCAAACAAATACTGGGAGTTGGGGTGTAGCAGTATGCAGAAAAGTGCATCCTTTTGGTCCAGGACTGTGAAGCACTTAGATCTCTAGGTATTTGTGTTAGCAGGGTATATGAATTGGAAACCACTGTATGAATTGGAACCACAGCCTCATTAATGAGTTGGAGGTCCTGGACCAGTCTCCATTCCTCATTGGGTTTCTGTACCCCCAACACCAGGGTATTACACGGGCTGTTGCAGGGTTTGAGGAGGTCCTGCATCCTCAAATTATCAATAATAGTTTTTAGCTCTTTCCTAACTTCTGGTTTTAGGAGACATTATCTCTGGTTAGGAAAGCAGGTGGGATCTTTAAGGTGGATCCAGACCAGTATGGCAGTTGTGGCTCAGTCAATCATTCCTTGACTTGCCTAAACTTCTGGGCTAATATTGGTCTCCATAAGGGGGATGCAAAGAGTCTGTCCTGGAGCCATAAGGATGGTGGTTTTCATATAAGCTAAGATATCCCTGCCCAGCAGAAGAATTGGGCTTTCAGGCATGATTAAAAAGTCATAAGTAAACAAGAGGTCTCCCCAATTACAACTAAGAGGTTGGGAAAAATGTCATGTTAAAGGCTTTCCTGAGATGCCCCTCACAGTCATGCTAAGGGAGTGGAGGCCCAGAATGGAAAGGAGAACAGAAATGGCCACTTAATTGTCGAGGAAGAGGTCCACCTTCCTCCCTTCAACCTCCAGAATCACCCAGGACTCCTGGATAGTAATGACAATCTCAACCATTGCAGCCAGGGAGAGGAACTCCAGTCTCATCAGTCCTGCTGGACCATTTGAGAGATTGGCTCTGGACCCAGTGACCTGAATCTGGGAACAGTCCACCCTCTAGTGGTCCCCATTGCTGATTAAACAGGGTTGAAGTGGCTTCCTTACTCTTCCAGGGCAGTTTTTCCTAAAGTGCCATGGCTTGCCATATTTGTAGCAGTTAACAGGTGCTTCTCAGGGATTCTGGGATTTGTGAGCCTGCAAGGCAGCCATGAGAGCTTCTGCCTTTTTCTTGTGTCTCTTATCTCTCTCTCCTGAGCCTTCTCCTGATTCCTATGGTAAAAGACTGAGGTAACTACTTTCAGGAGGTTCTCTAAAGTACTATCTGGTCCCAGGGGCTGTTTCTGCAGTTTCTTCCTGATTTTAGTTGTTCTCCAATTGAATCAGGATTAGTTGTTCAATTAGATTAGGATTAGCTGAATTAGGATTTGTTGTTCTTCAACTGAATCTGGAGATAGAGGGTTGTGTTTTACCAAGGCATCTCTTAGCTTTTCCAGGAAGGGCAATGGGATTCTCTAATTCCTGGTCTATCATGGATAGTTTGGAGTAATTGAGAGGCTTAGTTCTAGTCTTTTGTAAGCCCTCCAATATGCACACCTAAAGTGTTTCCTCTGCCATTTTTCCATTTCATCACTGGGGTCCCATTTAAGGTCCTCCACTGGTACTGCTATTCTTCCCATTGGGTAAGGCTCATCCGCTTCCTTGGCACTATATGAGATACAAAGCTCATCCTAATAATTCTACTGCTTTTTAGCAGTAGTCAGGGTTTGATTCAAAAGTAATATCCTTCCAGGAGAGTTTAAATACTTGGGTTAAATTCTGGAAAGCCTGTATATTCCTGTCAGAGTCATCTGAAAACTTGCCGAGATCACCCTTAATTTGCCTTTTACCTTAAGTCCTGTAGAGAAAAGGGGACCTGGGACCGTAATGGGAAAATATTCACCAGGTATTTCTTGCAGGGGAAGGAATGAGACTGGGACTTGCCTAAAATGAGGATTTCTAGGATGAGGCAAACTTGAGAGAGAACCTGAATAGGGATGATCGAGTGGACCAGGAGGAGCAGGATTGGAGGGAGATGACTCCTCTGCTGAAGGCACCTCTGAGATTTGCTTCCCTAGTCCCTTCCGATTTTCCTTTGCAGCTTATAACCTAGCCAAGCCTTTGTGCAAAGGAATATAAGGCATATTTTTTGCCCAGAGTCTGAGGGTCAAAGAGTCCCAGTGATTCAGGATGCACTCAAGAGAAGTGCAGGCTGAAGATAGTTTGTTACCCATCTGAAAGAAAAGGGGAAAGGCATCCCTTAGTTCCCTTCTCTCTTCCAGTGAAATCCTGGGGTATGTGAGCGAGAGAAAAAAAGGCATCCCTTTCTTTCTTCCCTTTTCCGAGTCCTGGAAGCCACTAGGTGCACCACCCATGGACACAAGTGCAAGTGCCAACCATGAAGTAGGAAGGCCTAGTCATTAGGGATGGTCACACTTACCTACGCTGTGCCTTAGCCTTCCACTGTTGGTAACCTTTGGGTTCCCTAGACCTCATCTATGCCACGGATGCAAGCAAATTCTTCACCCATGAAGCAGGAAGGCCTAGTTGGCAGAAACAATCATGCTCACCTGCGTGGTACCGTAGCCTTCTGCTGTCTACTGTCTCTGAATCCCTCAGATCAAGTTTTGGTTTTAGGGCTCCATACCTAAGCTTGGAAAATACATTGGAGTAATGTAAAGTGAAGCTGTGGAACCAGATGCATTAAGGCACCTTTTTAGTACTACCTTGTTCTATGATTCAAGTCAATGGAAAACTATGAAAACTCGATTTAGGCAGGATTGCTAAGGGCTCAAATACTTCAGAAGTAAAGGCTTGGTCATTTCCTAAAGCTAAGTGCCATGTTCAGCTTATGTGCTTGCAATGGGCAAAGGGAATATGGAATGGGTAGTCAAAGAAGGTAGTTTTTGAATAAAAGTTTGACCACATGACCAGTTGCAGGAATAATTCCTATGATTATTTTTTTCATATTTTTTATGAATGTTTGTATGTTTATGTGTATGTACTTATTATCTTTATTTACTCTCTGTTATCTTATTATCATATAACGTATAATATATTAATGTTCCATTATAATATTTAAGTGTTGTTAAGTTTAAATTTTAGTATCACATTACAGGATATGAAGAATAGGAGTGAACATTGCCGAGGACTTCAAATTTTTTTTTTGTTGGAGAAAGAGTTAGTGAATTTTTTGTTGTGCACAGAGTGATTATATCATGTTAGGTGGAAGTATGACTTTGTCATTGTCTTTATTTTGAGGTAAGTGTGGGTTAATGAGATGTAGATGGGTGTCAAGTTGACAGGTGGTGAACTAGATTATTAAACTGTATGTGTCAAATAAGTTAGACTATGATGTCCAGTTGTTTGGTTAAACACTAGTCTAAACCATTCTGTGCAGGTATTTTTTTAGATGTGATTAACCTTGTTTTCAGCTGACTTTAACTAAAGGAGATAACTCTGGATAATATGGAGGATTTTTTCTAAATGGTTGAAGGCCTTAAGCTCAAAAATTGAGGTTTCTCAGAATAGAAGAAAACCTATCTCAAGACTAACAAAATTCCTGCCTGACATTCCATCCTGGAAGCATGTTCTACAATTTTTAGAGTGAAGACTACATCAACTCTTGCCTGAGTTTCCAGCCTGTAGGCGTGTCCTATTGATTTCAGACTTACTAAACTCCACAATCATGTGAACCCATTCCTTAAAGTCTTTCTCTCTCCTTCTCTTAAAATTTTTTCTGAAGAAATCTGACTGATAAAGTTTCTTAGAATTTTTTTAAGAGGAATTAATGTATATTAAAGTTTATTTTTAAATTATTCTGCATTCATTGAAATGATCATGTAATTTTTTATATTTTCATCTTATGATGGAAATATTATGTACATATCTGTACATACACAAAGGGATATTTGTCAGTCACATGTGGCTATCAAGTGCTTGTTGTATGAATGGTGTGACTATAGAATTCAATGTTTATTTAATTTTTGTTAATTTATGTATACACTGAGTTTGCCACATATAGCTAGTGCTATCATTCTGAGGCATTAGGCAAATGCTTTCATAGAAATATCAGCTACGGATCCTCAGCTCATCTCTGAAAACTTGTCACTTCCTGGAAATTCATTTCCCTAGTTATCATGGCTTCTAAAGTTTTCTAATGCCTTAAAATACAGTTTTTGTAATATATCTGGTTTTTCTACTTGTTCTCAGAGAAAGCACTCCATATCATCTCTTTCAGAAATAAAATTTGTAAAACTATTTTTAATATAGATTGAGTAAATTATACCTCCACTTCTAATACATACTGAAGTTTTTTGTTCTTTTTGGCTCTATTTTGTCCTAATTATTCTCCATTACTGAGGCAAGACTTTCCTGATTGCAGTATCCATTTTCCTGTGAATTATGTGTTTTTCCTCTGTGGCTTGTGGGAACATGCATATTTTCCAGCCCTGTGTAAACACAAGACACTATTCCTTTAAAATAACTTTTCCCTAGTATTGGTTAGTTGCCTCACACATCTGCACTGATCACTACTTTTATGAAATATTTGAAATCAGACCATCTGAATGAAGAACTATGGAATTATCTCAGTGTGCAGCTCTCTTCTCTCTGCTATGTTGTCATGCAAATTCTAGTTCTCTTGGTCTACCCAGTGTCTTAACTCCCTGTCTTTTACTCCCTGAATCCACCACTATTGTTATTAGATTGTCATACCCGAGCCATGGCCTAGAAAATTTCTTAAGGCAAGAAACTGGGGTGATGTAGGTCTTACCTTGTTTATTTCCTGGCTGACTCTCTGGGATCACTGTCCTTTGCTTGAAGTTCAGTGTCTTGAAAATCATCTTTCATATATTGTATCTAAATTTTTTGTTTGTTTGTTTCAGATGGCAAGTTATATCCTATGTTACTCCATGTTGGTCAGAAGTGGAAATATCTGATAAGGCTATAATTAGGTAATTTTAACATATAAGGCAATGAACACACACTTTTACTTATATTTTTATGGTCTTGGTTTATAAACTAAAACAACAGCAACAACAAAAATAAACAAGCAAAAACTAGAAACAAATCCAAAAAAGAAAACAACTCAACTTACTACTGAAGTGTTTGATACCTTAAAAGAATATGTGAAAATAATTCTACACAGAAAGACAAGCATCATGAAACATTATAAATCCACAAGAAAGGTTAATAAAGATCATAAAAAGGAAGTAATTTTTTTTTTTTTTTTGAGACAGAGTCTCGCACTGTCGCCCAGGCTGGAGTTCAGTGGCGCCATCTTGGCTCACTGCAAGCTGCGCCTCCTGGGTTCACGCCATTCTCCTGCCTCAGCCTCCCGAGTAGCTAGGACTACAGGTGCCCACCACCACGCCCGGCTAATTTTCTTTTTGTATTTTTAATAGAGACGGGGTTTCACTGTGTTAGCTGGGATGGTCTCGATCTCCTGACCTTGTGATCTGCCTACCTTGGCCTCCCAATATTTTAAATAACCATATTAAATATTTTATTTCAAAGATACTAAAAATCTGAAATTTTTACTTCTCCTGGTTAGGATGGTAATTTGCTATAAAGCAATATTTATTATATAACTTTTAGAAAGGCCTCCATGTAATTGTAGATACACTCATGTGGATAAAATAGGATTAGAAAACACACCTTCAAATGTTCACAAAAACAATTTGAAAATTGTGTGTGATAACTTGAATGAAATTAAAACCCAAACTTATTTTAGAACTCTGTCAGCAGATATGCTGTATTTCAGATAGTAGTGGTGGAACCGTAAACATTTACTAAGTGGCAGTTTTTTAAAAACCTGTCATTTTATTGTTGATTTCCCTACTGGTGGAGTAAATAAACATATAACAGAAAATTATTTTTATTTTAACTATTAATAGTTACCTTACCATTAGATTTCTGGCAAACTATCACTTACAAAATCAGTGTCCATCAACAACATTGATTTCCTTTTGCTTTGTCATGCTATATTTGAATATTTTTTCACATTTTCAGTAATTTTGGCTTTCAAAGTACTGGTTAAATATTAGTATAATATTTGAGAGAACACATTTTATGATCAGTGACAATGGTCAAATTTACTCATTTTAGATACTATATTAATGCATATTGTTTAATTTATGACATATTCCTGAAAAAATTAGTAAAATAAAACATGTTAAATTCAATAGTCCTCTGCCAATAACTATAATGTGTGCAATTAGCTTTTTATTAAAGCCATTTATTTATCTTCTTGTTCATAAATAATAGAAGCCATGGAATATGATACTTTATTAGGCTAATAATAATGATCCAAACTATTATAAAATCTAGAAGTCATTACTATATCATAGAGTAGAAATTTGATTATCTTTAAAATATTTTAAAACGTGAAGTGCATAGCATACATTTTCCAATGTCTTAAGAAAATAATTTCTGTATGGTTTACGCAGTATGTAGGTATTAATCAGAATATCCATTTATGAAAAGCATTCCACTCCATGTGTCAGTTAAATAAAAGATTAAAATTATCTATTTCTGCTTAAATGCATGTTTTTCTTTAGGACTCCAAATGTTTTTAACTGACTGTTTTTTAAAATTGGCAACATTAGGCCAGGCACGATCGCTCACGTCTGTAATCCCAGCACTTTGGGAGGCCGAGGTGAGCAGATCACAAGGTCAGGAGATCGAGATCATTCAGGCCAACATGGTGAAACCCTGTCTCTACTAAAAATACAAAAATTAACTAGTCGTGGTGGTGCGTGCCTGTAATCCCAGATACTCGGGAGGCTGAGGCAGGAGAATTGCTTGAATCAGGGAGTCGGAGGTTGCAGTGAGCTGAGATCGCGCCACTGCATTCCAGCCTGGTGACAGAGCGAGACTCCATAAAAAAAAAAAAAAAAATTGGCAACATTATATTAACATTTGTTTATCATGTTTTTAAAATTTAAACTTTCAATTTTAGAATAGTTTTAAATACGTAGAAAAATCGTGTTTCCTGTATCTTATCCATTCTCCCATATTGTTAACATTTTATATGACTTTGATGCATTTCTCACAGTGAAGGAACCAACATCAGCAAAATACTATATATATATAAAATATATACATATCATATATAATATACTATGTATTATATACACTATATATTATATACCATGTATTTTATACACTATATATTATATATAGTATATACATTATGTGTATACTTTACACATTATTTAGATTTTAATAGTTATTTCTTAATGTCATTTTCAAGAATCTCAATCAGAATTGACATTACATTTAGTCATTTCTTAGTCCGATATGATCTGTGACAGTTCTGAGACATTTTCCTTTTGATAACTTTAAGAATTTTACATACTACTGGTCAGACATTTTATAGAATATTGCTCAATTTTTTTTTAAGTTTGCTTTATTTGTTTGGCACTCGGAGGCTATGAGTTTTGGAGAAGACCACAGATACAAAGTACCATTCATTACATCATATCAAGGGTTTTAAACACTTTTGTATTTTCTGGCACTGTAAGTTGCTTCAGGATAATTTTTGTGTATTTCTTACCCTAGTTCTAAAATCGGCTTTTACTACAAGTATTCCTGGTTCTTTTATTGGAAAGCTGTATTAGAAACTAAAATCACAACACTAGTCATGCCTGTTCTTACTGAGATGCTTTTGTTTCTAGGCCCTATCAGGGAATACAAACAAAATTTTACATATACTCACTCATGTATATACATATACCTTTACCTATTTCTGCATGTAACCAACTATGTTTATATTAAGCTGATCATTAAAAAATTATTTTATTGAGGTATGACTGACACTTTAAAAGCCATCATTATACTTAAGCTAATCATAAATTAATACTATAATCTTCAACTTTATTATCACGTGGATTATTCGAGCCCACTTTCTTTGCATATCTGTAACTCCCAACTACAACAGTGAAAAAGCTGGCTCATATCAGTCAATATCAATTAACTTATTTGTTCAATTCCAGTACAAGTGTATAGTGGTTTCAGTAGTGTTAACCCATGTGCCCATGGAAAACAACTTTATCAGTTAGAATAAAGTTTATGTGGATATTTCCTTTTTCCATCTTACAGCTTTTTCATTTGTTTTTATAACTATTACCTCTTTGAGATATAATTCACATACCATGAAATTCATCCCTTTAAAATGTACAAATTAGAAGTCTTTAGTATAGTCACAAAATTATGCAGTCATTACCACTACCTAATTTTAGAAAATTATTATTACTTTGAAAAGAAACCCTGTACCCAATAGCCTCGATACCCTATTCCTTCTTCAACCAAGTCTTAGACAATCTTTAATTTACTTTTTGCCTCTACAGATTTGCCTTTGAATTGAATCATAAAAAAGTGGTCCTTTGTGAGAGTATTATTTTGCTTAGCACATCTTTTGATGTTCTTTCATGATCTGTAGCATTTATCAGTACTCCACTATTATTTTTTCTTGGTTAACTTAAAAAAAAAATAATGTACCATATTTTTCAGGAGTTTAAGGCTAGTAGAAAAAACAGAAGTATGTTTGTTACAATTGATGAGCCAATATTGATGCATTATTAACTGAAGTCCTCAGTTTACGTTATAGGTCTCACTTTGTGTTTTACATTCTATGGGTTTGGACAAATGTATAATGACATGTATCTACCATTACATTATCATACAGAATAGTTTCAGTGCCATAAAAAGCCTATGTGCTCCATATATTACAGAAATTTCTACCAATCACTAATCTTCTTATTCTCAGAATAGTTTTGCTTTTTCCAGAAGGTCATATCCTTAAAATTATACAGTTATGTTGCCTTCTCAGATTAGTTTATTTCACTTAGCAATATACATTTAAAGTTCTTCTATTTTTTTCTGATAGTTTTTTTAAAACCACTGAATATTCCATTGCATGCATATATGACAGTTTGGTTACCTATACACCTATTAAAAACATTTTGGTTGCTTTTAAATTTATTCCATTATGAAAAGAGCTGCTATGAACATTTATGTGCAGATTTTAGTGTAAATGTAAGTTTCCAACTTCTTTGGGTAAATACTAAGGAGCAGAATTTCTGGGTCATATGGTAAGAGCATGTTTAGTTATGCAAGAAACTGCCACTCTTTTTCCCAAATATCTGTACAATTTTGTATTTTTACCAGCAATAAATGAGAGTACCTGTTGTTACATATCCTTATTATCATTTGATGCTGTCGGTCTTTTAAATTTTGCCCATTCTAATAGGTGTATAGTGGTATTATATTGTTTTAATCTGCAATTCTCTAATGATATATTTTTGTATGCTCATATGCAATTATGCCATCTGTATGCCTTCTTAGGGAAGCTTTCTATTCATATTTTTAGATTTTTTTTATTGTTTTTTTTTTCTTGAGACCTAAGTGTTTTTTGCATATTTCAGGTATCAGTCATTTATCAATGTGTTTTGCAAATATGTTCCTTTAGTGGCTTTTCTTCTCATTCTCTTAACAGTATTTTTGATAGAGAATAAGCATTTACATTTAATTAAGTCCAGTTTACCTACCTTTTATTTCCTGGATCAGGCTTTTTGTCTTATATGTAAAAAGTCATCACCAAATCCAAGATCATTTAGGTTTCCTCCTACATGTTTTGCTAAGAGGGTTTTTAGTTTTTTGTTTTGTGGTCATGTCAACTTTTTTTTTAACTTTTATTTTAGGTTTGGGGGTACATGTGCAGGATTGTTATATAAGTAATTTGTGTGTCATGGGTTTGGGGTGTACAGATTATACATTTTACATTTAGTTGTATCATTTATTTTTAGTTAATTTTTGTGAAAGAAGTAAGATTATTATTATTTTTGAACATGTATGTACAGTTTTCCAGCACCATTTCTTGAAAAGAATATCCTTTTCCCATGAACTGCTTTCACTCTTTTATCAAAAATCAATTGATAACATTAGTATGGATCTATTTTGGGGCTCTCTGTGCTTTCTATTGAATCTACTTGTCCATTGTTAGTATCACACTATTTTATTAATGTAGCTTTATAACGAGTATTGAAGTTATATAGTGTCAGTCATCCAACTTTGTTCTTGTTCAAAATTGTGTCAGCTATCCTATATCTTTTGTCATTTCATATAAACTTTAGAATATTTGTGAATGTTCACAAAATACCTAATTTTCATTTTTATTGTGATTGTGTTGAATCTTGAAATCAAGTTAGGAAAATAGCCATCTTGACAATATTGAGTCTTTCTGTCCGTGTATGAGATATCTTTCCTTTCAGTTAGATATTCAGTTATTTCTTTAATCACAGTTTTATAAATTTTTTCACATAGAAATAACAAATATCTTGTCCATATTTTGTTAGCTTTGTGACTATTTCAGGATTTTTTAGGTGGTAGAATACGTGATATTGAGTTTTTAATTTCAAATTCCATTGTTCATTGCTGGTACATGAGGCATCAATTGACTTTTGTATATTAACCTTGTATCCTAAAAACTTATTAAAATCCCAATTATTAAAACCTCATATCTGTCAGAATAAGTAGTATCCAAAAGATGAAAGATAACTAGTTTTAGCCAGGATGTGGAGAAAAGGAAACCCTGATAGACTGTCAGTGGAAATGTAAATTAGTACAGCCACTATGATAAGGAGTATGAAGTTTCTCTAAAAGCTAAAAATAGAATTATCACATGGTTCAGCAATACCTCTTCTGAGTATATATCCAAAGAAATTGACGCCAGTATGTTGAAGATAAATCTGCACTCCCATTTTCATTGTAGCATTATTCACAATATCCAAGATATGGAAGCAACTTAAGTGTCCATTAATGGATAAATGGATAAAGAAAATATGGTATATATACATAATGGGATAAAAAGGGGAATTCTGTCATTTTCAACAACATTGGTGAACCTGGAGGAAACTGTGCTAAGTGAAATAAACCAGACAGAAAGATAAATACTGCATGATCTCACTTACATATGCTGAATGTAAACAATGTCAACTTAAAGAAGTAGAGAGTAGAATGGTGATTACTAGAGGCTTGGAATGGGGGTGGGGAAAGGGGAAATATCGGTCAAAGGGTACAAAGTTTTAGACAGGAGGAATAAATTTTAGTGACCAGTTTCATAGCATGATGACTACAGTTAATAATAATTTATATTTCAAAATCCCTAAAAGAGTTCAATTTTAAAAGTTCTCCACACACAAAATTGAAAAACAGGCAAGATGAAAGATAAGTTAATTAGCTTGATTTAATTATTCTACAATGGTTTATCAAAACATCACACTGTATTCCATAAGCATATAATTACTGTAAATTAAAAATAAAACATAATAAAAAATAAATTTGTTAGAGTGTGCTTTATGCTCAAAACTGTGGTGTATCCTGGTGAATGCTCTGTGTGAAATTAGGAAGCATGTGTATTATGCTGCTGTTGGATAAAATGTTCTATAAATATCAATTACATATAGTTTAATGGTGGTTCTGTTCTGTTCAACTGTATCATTACTATTTTTCTGCCTGCTAGATCTGGCAATTACTGATAGAGAAATGTTGAAATGTTGAACTATAATGCTGGATTTCTCTATTCCTCCTTGCAGATCCTCATATATTATGATGCTTTGTTGTTAGGCACATACATTTTATGGATTGTTATTTCTACTTAGAGGATTAACCCAGGCTTGAACTCCTGAGCTCAAGTGATGTGCCCAACTCAGCCTCCCAAAGTTCTGGGAGTACAGGCATGAGCCACTGTGCCAGGCTCCTCCCCACTTTGTAGTCTCCAGTGTCTATTGTTTCCATCTTTATGTCCATGTGTATTTGTTGTTTCCCTCTCACTTATAAGTGAAAACATGTGTTATTTGGTTTTCTGTTTCTGTATTATTTCACTTAAGAAAATGTCCTCCAGCTGCATCCATGTTTCTGGAAAGGACATAATTTCATTCTTTTTAATGGCTGTGTAGCATTCCTTCATGTGTATGTACCGAATTTTCATTATCCATTTTTCCATTGATGAACATGTAGGTTGATTTCATGTCTTTGCTATTATAAATAGTGCTGTGATAAACATACAAGTTTCTTTTTCTTTGGGGACATACCTAATAGTGGGATTGCTGGATCAAACGGTAGCTCTATTTTTAGTTCTTTGAGACATTTCCACACTGTTTTCCATAGAGGTTGTACTAGTATGCATACCCACTAACAGTGAATAAGCATCCCCATTTTCCTGCATCCACAAAAACATCTTTTTTTTTTTTTTACTTTTAAATAATAGTCACTTTGAGTGGTATGAGATGGTATCTAATTGTGGTTTTGATTTGCATTTCTCTGATGATTAGTGATGTTGAGCATTTTTTTTCTTATATTTCTTGACTGTGTATGCTTTCTTTTGAGAAGTGTCATTTTATGTCCTTTTCCCACTTTTTAAGAATTCTTTTTTTATTTTTTGTTGATTTTTTAGTTTCTTATAAATTCTTTATTTTAGTCCTTTATAGGATGTATCGTTTGTGAATACTTTCTCTCATTCTGTAGGTTGTCTGTGTACTCTATTGATAGTTTATTTTGGTGTGAAGAAGCTCTTTAGTTTAAGTTCCATTTGTCAATTTTTATTTTGTTGCATTTGCTATTGAGGTCTTAGTCATAAATTATTTTCCTAGGCCAATGTCCAGAAGAGTTTTTCCTAGGTTTCTTCTAGGACTTCTGTAGTTCAAGTCTCATATTCAAGTCTTTAATCTTTAGTTGATTTTTGTATACAGTGAGAGATAGGGGTCCAGTTCTACTCTTTTGCATATGGCTAGCCAGTTTTCCCAGCATCATTTATTGAATGGCTTGCACGTTCTTTCACCATTGTTTATCTTTGTTGACGTTGTCAAACATCAATAAGATGTAGCTGTGTGGCTTTATTTCTGGGTTCTCTATTCTGTTCCGTTGGTATGTGTGTCTGATTTTTACTTGTACCATGCTCTTCTGGTTACTATAACCTTGTAGAATAGTATGAATTTGGGTGATGTGGTATCTCTGGCTTTGTTCACTTTGCTTAGGATTGCTTTGGCTATTTGGGCTCCTTTTTTGGTTCCATATGAGTTTTAGAATAGTTTTTTCTAATCTGTGAATGATGGTAATTTGATAGAAATTGCATGACTCTGTAGATTGCTCTTGGCAGTATGGTCATTTTATCAATATTGATTCATCCAGTCCTTGAACATGGAACTTTTTTTCATTTGTTTATATCATCTATGGTTTATTTCAGCAATGCTTTGTGGTTCCGCTTTTGGAGGTTTTTCACCTACTTGGTTAAATGTATTCCTAGGTATTATTTTTTGGTGGCTATTGTAAATGTTGTTGCATTCTTGATTTGGTTCTCAGCTTGAATGTTATTGTTGTATATTGCTATTAATGTTTGTATTTTGATTTTGTACTCTAAACCTTTACTGAAGGTAAAGATAGATATCTGATGATCTTAGATAATGTGACTTCCTCTTTTCCTATATGGATGTCTTTTTTTTTTTTTCTCTCACCTGATTGCTCTGGCTAGGAATTCCAGTACTACATTGAATAGGCCTGGTGAAAATAGACATACTTGTCTTTTCCTAGTTTTTAGGGGGGATACCTCCAACTTTTGCCCATTCAGTATGATGTTGGCTGTGGGTTTGTCATACATGACTCTTATTATTTTGAGACATGTTCCCTGTATGCCTAGTTTGTTGAAAGGTTTTTTTTTATTATGAAGGGATGTTGGATTTAATCAAATGTTCTTTCAGCATCTATTGAGATAATATGTTTTTATTTTTAATTCTATTTATGTGGTGAATCACATATATTGAGTCACATATGTTAAAGCATCCTTGCATTTCTGGAATAAAGCCCAATTTATGCTGCTATATTCAGTTTGCTAGTATTTGTGTGAGGACTTTTGTGACTAGGTTAATCAGGAATATTGACCTGTAGTGTCCAATTTTTGTTTTGTCCTTGCCAGATTTTGGTATCTGGAAGAAACTGGTTTTATAGAATAATTTAGAGAGGAATCCCCTCTCCTTGAATCTGTCTGATTCAGGGAATTTTTTGGTAGATCTATTTTTTGTTACTGATTCAGTTTTGTAACTCATTATTGGTCTGTTCAGTATTTTAATTTCTTCCTGGTTCACTCTTGGAAAGTTGTGTATCTCCAGTAATTTATCCATTTCCTGTAGGTTATCTACTTTGTGCCCACAGAAATATTAATAATAGTCTCTGAGGATCTTTTTATTTCTGTGGTATCAATTTTAGTGTCACCTCTGTCATTTTTATTGTGCTTACTTGGATTTTCTCTTTTGTTCTTAGTTAGTCTATCTAGCAGTGTATCAATCCTGTTTATCCTTTCAAAGAACCATTTTTTACTGATCCTTTGTATGATTTCCTTTGTCTCGATTTTATTTAGTTCTTCTCTGATATCAGTTCTTTATTTTCTTTCGCTAGCTTTTCATTTAGTTTGTTTTTGTTTTTTTCCAGTTCCTTTAGGTGTGATGTTGGGTTGTTAAGTCTTTCTGTCTTCTTGATTTATGTATTTAGCGCTATAAACTTTCCTCTTACACTGCTTTTGCTGTATTTAGGAAGTTTTGGTAATTTGTGTCTCTGTGTTCTTTTTTCAAAGATTTTTTTGATATCTGTCTTAATTTTGTGTTTACCCAAAAGTCATTTAGGAGCTAGTTGTTTAGTTTCCATGTATTTGTGTGGTTTTGAGAGTTCCTTGTGGGATTCAGTTCTAATTTTATTCCACTGTAGTCCAAGAATATGCTTGATATGATTTCAATATTTTTTGTATTTATTGAGACTTGCTTTATAACTGAGCATGTGGTCAATCTTAGAGAATGTATTAGGCAGATGAGAAGAATGTATACTCTGGATTGTTGGGTGGAGTATTTTGTAAATATCTATTAGGTCTATTTGGCGAATAACTCAATTTAAGTCCAAATTTTCTTCGTTAGTTTTCTGCCCCAGTGATCTGTCTAATGCTAGCAGTAGGGTATTGAAGTCTGTCACAATTATTATTGTTTGGCTTTCTATCTCTTTTCTTAGTTCTTGGAGTATTTGTTTCCTAAATCTAGGTGCTTTCATGTTGGGTAAGTATATGCTTAGGATAGATAAATATTCTTGTTGAATTGAACCCTGTATCATTATACAATGCCCTTCTTTGTTTCTTTTTACCATTTTTGGTATAAAGTCTGTTTAATCTCATACAAGAATAGCAACCCCTGACTCTTTTTTGTTTCCATTTTCATAATAGATATTTTTCCATCTCTTTACTTTGAGTGTGTGGGGTATCCTTACTCATGAGTTAGGTTTCTGGAAGTAAGCAGAAGCTTGGGCCTTGTTTTCTGAATCAATTTGCTATCTATGTCTCTTAAGTGGAGCATTTAAGCTTCTTATGTTCAAGGGTCTCATTCCTGACATATTGTTAATTTGTTTCTTTCTAATCTCAATTATGTAATTGATTTTTAGAATCTGTTAGCTTTGCACTTACATGTGCTTTTATGGTAGCAAGTATCATTCTTTCATTTTTCATGTTTAGGAGTCCTTTGAGCATTTCCTGTAAGTCTGGTCTTGTGGTGGAGTATCCCCTTAGTATTTGCTCCTCTGGGAAAGACTATTTCTCTTTCATTTATAAAGCTTAGTTTGGCAGGATATGAAAATCTTGCCTCACGTTTTTTTCTTTAGGAAAGCTAAAAATAGGCTCTTAACCTCTTCTTGTTTATAAAATTTCAGCTGAGTAGTCTGCTGTTAATCTTATGGGATTTTCTTGATAGATAATTTGGCCCTTTTCTGTAGCTGCCTTTAAGATTTTTTCTTTCATATTGACCTCAGATACCCTGCTAACTATATGTCTTAGTGATGGTCGTCTTGTGTAGTATCTTGGAAGAGTTATTTTAATTTTTGTATCTGGATATTGACTTCTTTGGCAAAATTTTAAACAAATTAATAAAGTATTCCCTCAAATATGCTTTCCAAGTTGCTTACTTTTTTTTCTTTCTGAGGAACACCAATAAGTCATAGGCTTGTTTGCTTTACATACTCTCATATTTCCCAAAGGCTTTGTTCATTTATTTAAATTCATTTTCTAAATTTTTTTCTGAGTGGGTTAATTTAAAAGACTGGACTTTGTGCTCTGAAATTCTGTCTTCTGCTTTTTCTAGTCTATTTTTAAAACTTCCACCTATATTTTGCAATTCTTATAGTGAGTTTTTCAATTCAGGTAGTTTTATTTGTTTTTTTTCTCAATATAGCTATTTCATATTTCATATTCTGATTTTTTTCCTGCTTACTTGTATTGGATGTCAACTTTCTCCTGGATCTCATTGAGGTCTATTTCAATCTATATATGGAATTTTTTATCTGTCATTTCAGTCATTTCTATCTGATTAGGATTCATCGCTAGAGAGCTAGTGTGATCCTTTAGAAGTGTCAGAGCACTTTGGCTTTTTGTAGTACTGAAATTCTTGTGCTGATTCCTTCTAATCTAAAGTAGCTGTCACTTCTTATTTTACATTTACTATCATTTACATGGGCTGTTTAATTTTTAAATTCTTTTTTCTTTTGAGTTTTTGACTGTGGTGTATGTTGTGTATGATTGTTTGGCTTTTTTTCTGAGTGCTTTCAAGAAGCTGAAGCCCTGTATGGATGTTTTGGTTATGGATAGTTTTTATGCGGTGGCTTTCTCACATGTTGCTTGTTGTAGCAATGTATTAGATATGAGGGCTGACACACTCTCTCTTCTGGGTCTGATGGTGTGGAGGTCTCAGGGAGCTTATCTCATGCAGCAGCACTAAGCCTTTCTGGTAGAAGGTGTTTTACTTCCTGGTACATTTCAGGCTGAAACCCAAGAGACGGTACTTAAGAGTAAGAGCTTTCAGTTAGGCTGGTGCCAAGTGGACACATCTCTCCTGACTGGAGTGGCAGGAAGAGATTGTGATGGAGTGTGCTGAGGTTTCTAGGGAAGCAGCAGGGGTGGAAGTTGGTGCACCAGTTCCTTGTCCTGAGCCAGCAGAAACACGATCCACTTCCCTATCATGCCTCTGTCACGGGGGTCATTACCTTCAGTTTTTTGTTTTTCGTTTTTATCTTTTTTTGAGTCAGAGTCTTGCTCTGCCACCCAGGCTGAAGTGCAGTGGGGCAATCTCAGCTTACTGCAAGCTCCGCCTCCCGGGTTCAAGTGATTCTTGTGCCTCAGCCTCCAGAGTAGCTGGGATTACAGGCGCCTGCCACCACGTGTGGCTAATTTTTGTATTTTTAGTAGAGACAGAGTTTCACCACGTTGGCCAGGCTGGTCTCAATCTCCTGACCTCAAGTGATCTGCCCGCCTCGGCCTCCCAAAGTGCTAGGATTACGGGCATGAGCCACCGCGCCCGGCCTACCTTAAGTTTATAAAGGCTTCATCTTTTTGTTCCCAGCTAGTGTGTCTGCGGGACACAGATAAGCGTCTCTGATGGCTACCACTAAAATGGGGCTCGATACAGTGCCTCTTTCCCCAGTCTAGGGCAGGCCACTCCATGGTTTGTCCTTCATTAGCAGGGTGCTGCCTCTCTGTGTATGGAAGAGGGAGATGGGCTCTGCCAAAGTAAAAGCCTAGGCAGGTGTGGACCTACTTTCACTAGGGTTGAAGCTGCCACAGTTAAGTGTGGAAAAAAACAAACAACAAAAACAAAACAAAACAAAACAAAAAAACATTTTTTGAGGCATGCTTTCTATCCCCTGGTGGGAAGGACCACTGATGCATCCTCAGCTCTGTACGGGAGGAGGTGGGAAATGACCTCCTTTTCATGTTTGTTCCTTGGTGTCAGTGTTACTGCCTTCAGCAGTTGGCACTCCATCCATGTTTCCTTTGTACCAATGGGTTTTTTTTGGCTGTGCAACCCCCTCACTGAGCAGTGGCTCATGCTGAGGGTTATATGTCCAGGTGTCCTACAACATCCCAGGGACCTGCTAGTCTCTTGTGCTTGCAAAAGTCACAGCAGGTTATGAGGTATGTTTGCACAGTTATCTAGTGATGCTGTGGCTCAAGGGTTGAGAATCTCTTGGAAGGGCTGTTACCAACCTGTGGTGCACAACCAGTATGTTACCTGTCAACTCAGTTCAGATAGAAGGGGAGTGTGGGAACACCTGTGAGAGCTGGCCATGCAATACTCTGTCACGGGAAATGCTCAAATCATCATTGATAGTTTTGCCCAGGGTGATGAGGGCAGAGGGGCTCCCCAACAGTTTAGCAGTCAACAGATTGTCAGAGGACTGAAGGGAGCAGAGAAGCACTCCCACCTATCCTTTCTACAGAACTCTGACTTCCTTGGGAATTTATCTCTGCTGGAGTCTTGCTGATTTCTTTTTCTGCATCTTATCTTCTTCCCATGTGCACTCTGACAAATCTTGATTATCTTCCTTCAGTTTTCCATTTAAAACCTGTTTATTCACTGGTAACTTTGATTTTTGCTCTGAGGAGAACTCACCTCCAATGTTCCTAGTCAGCCACCCTGAAAAAAAAATAAATAAATAATAGTAGTATCTCTTGAGGGAAGGCCTAGCTAAGAACAAAATATTCTGGATATATTTCTAAATGGCTACATTTTCTGTCTTGCGGCCAGAAATTTGGGAGATTTTTTTCTCTTTCACTGTGAGAACATAATGGGATTTCTGGAGAAAAAAACTCACAAAAGTGTGTGGGTTTCCATAAGACTGACTCCCCAACTGTTTTTTTTTTTTCCATTCCCCAGGTCTTCACTCTCAAAGTTGCCCATGCTGAGCAGCCAGGAATTAGTAGGCTAGGTTTTACTATTCTGGTAGTGGTTTCTGCTCTAGTAAATAGTGATTTTTTTTGTATCCATCTGTGTGCTTCTCAAAGTTTTGGAGCAGCAGTTTGACCTGTGACCACACATTCTCTGATGTACATAAGAACAATTGTTAATTTTCAGTTTAATAACTTCTTTTCTTGTTGAGAGAATGATGGTGGCTTCCATGCTCACATATCAGACAGGAAACCAGAAGTTCTTCATTTCTTTTGAAAGAGTAATAGTTGTAGATATACCACAGTTTGTTTATCCATTTATCAACTGATAAACTTTTTTTTCCCACTTTTTTTTTGAGACAGGGTCTTGTTCTATCACCCAGGCTGGAGTGTGGTGGCATGATCTCAGCTCACTGCAACGTCTCCCACCCAGGCTCAAGTGATCCTCCCAGCCCTGCCTCCCAAGTAGCTAGGACTACAGGCATGTGCCACCACACCTGGCTAATTTTTTTTTGTATATATATATATATATATACATATATATATATATATATATATATATATTTTTTTTTTTTTTTTTGGTAGAGATGGGTTTATTCCATATTGCCCAAGCTGGTCCCAAAGACTTGGGCTCAAGTGATCTGTCCACCTCAGTCTCACAAAATGCTGGGATTACAGGCATGAGCCACCATGCCCAGCCTTTTCCCTCACTTTTTAACTATTATTAATGATGCTGCTGTGAACAATTGTATACAAGTTTCTCTATTGGTTTGCATTTTTATTTCTTTCGAGTATATACTTAGGAGTAGAATTGTATGGTCATATGATAGCTTTGTTTAAATTTTTGAGAACGTTTCACACTTTTTTCAAAAGGTAATAACCCACTTACTTTTTTTCTAGCAATTTAGGAATGTACCAATTTCCCCACATTTTTGCCAAGTGTTTCATAGTTGTTCTTTTAGATGACACTCATTCTAGAAGTCATAAAATAATATCTCATAGTTTTGATTTGCCTCTCCCTAATAATAAATAATATTCAGTATTTTTTCAATTGACTGTTAGTTATTTGTAAATATCTTTGAAATTATCTATTCAAACCCTTTCCCCTTTTATTTCCATAATTATTCTTTTTATTATTATGTGGGGTTTTTATTTTCTAGAAACAAGTCCCTTATGATGTATATGATTTGTAAAATATTTCTTTCATTATGTGAGTCATGCTTTTATTGCCACATTGTAATTATACAAATTTATGGGGCAAAATGCATTTTTTATATATATGTGTAAATTGCAGAAAGATCAAATCATATTGGCAAATATATTACCTTGATCATTTTAAATGTTTTGTGATGAGAGCATTCATATTTCTTTTTTCTAGTTATTTTGAAATGTACAATACATTATTGTCTGTAGAATTTATTTCTCCTGTCTGATTGTAACTTTCTATCTGTTGGCAAACCTCTTCCCATTCTCCCTTCCACCCCCTCTTCCCCAGTCTCTAGTAACCACTGTTCTACTCTCTGCTTCTGTGATATCATTTTTTTTTTCAGATTCCACATGTGAATGAAATCATGCTGTATATTTTTCTGTCTGGCTTATTTCAATGAAAATTATGCTCTCCAGGTCCATCCATGTTTTTGCAAATTACAGAATTTCATTTTTTATGGCTGAATAATACCCATTGTGTATATATATCACTTTCTTTATATATTTATTCTTGGTTAGGCGATTGTATTGATTTTATATCTTGGCTATTGAAAACAGTGCTACAATAAACATGTGAGGGCAAATATTTCTTTTACATACTGAAAAAAGGGTGGGATTGCTAGGTCATACTGTAGTTTTAGTTTTAATTTTTGGAGGAAACTCCATAATTTTTCCATAGTGGATGTACTCATTTACAGTCCCATAAACAGTGTGTAAATGTTCCCTTTGCTTCACATCCTCAGCAACACTTTTTGGTAATATGCATTCTAACTAAAATGAGATGGTGTCTCATTTTGATTTTGATTCTTATTTCTCTGATGATCAGTGATGATGGGCATTTTTTCATGTATGTGGTCCATTTGTGTGTGTTTATTTGGAAATGTCTAAAGATCTTTTACATATTTTAAATCATTTATTTGGTTTTTGCTGTTCAGATTCTTATATTCTGGATACTAACCCTGTGTCAGATGTATGGCTTGCAAATTTTATATCTTATTCTGTATATTGTCTCTTCACTCTATTGTTGCCTTTGCTATGCAAAAGCTTTTTAGTTTGATGTAATTACATTTGTCTATATTTTGCTTTTGTTGCCTTTGCTTTTGAGTTCTTATTTAAAACATTTTTGCCTAGTCCAATGCCATAATTTTTTTCCTATGGATTCTTCTAGTAGTTTTATAGTTTTAAATGTTACATTTAAGTCATAAATATGGTTAGACTTTGAGTCCCCAGCCAAATCTCATCTTGAATTGTAATCCCCAGGTATTGAAGGAGATAACTGGTGAGAGGTGATCGGATCATGGGGGTGGTTTTCCCCATGCTGTTCTCATGATAGTACATGAGTTCTCATGAGATCTGATGGTTTTATAAGGGGCTCTTCCCCCTTTGCTTTCTACATACACACACTCCCACCTGCTGCTATGTAAGACATGCTTGCTTCCCCTTCTGTCATGATTGTAAGTTTCCTTCAGCCTCTTCCCAGTCGTGAAGAACTGTGAGTCAATTAAACCACTTTTTAAAATATATATATATATATAAATGACCTAGTCTTGGGTATTTCTTTATAGCAGTGTGAGAACAGACTAATACAGTAAACTGGTACTGGTAAAGTGGGGTACTCCTATAAAGATCCCTGAAAATGTAGAAGTGACTTTGGAAATGGGTAACAGGTAGAGGTTGGAATATTTTGGAGGGCTCAGAAGAAGACAGAAAAAATGTGGGGAAAGTTGGAACTTCCTAGAGACTTGTTGAATGGTTTTTATCAAAATACAGTGGTGTGGACAATGAAATTCAGGCTAAGGTGGTCTCATCTGAAGATGAGGGACTTAATGGGAACTGGAGCATAGGTCACTCTTGCTATGCTTTAGCAAAGAAACTGCTGGCATTTTGCCCCAACTTAGAGATTTGTGGAAATTTGAACTTGAGAGACATGACTTAGGATATCTGGTAGAAGAAATTTCTAAGAAGCAAAGCATTCAAGAGGTGACAGAATATAAAACTTTGAAAACTTCGCAGCTTGGTGATGTGACAGAAAAGAAAAACCCATTTTCTGGGGAGAAATTCAAGCTTGCTGCAGAAATTTGCATAAGTAATGAGGAGCCAAATGTTAATCGCCAAGGCAATGTAGAAAATGTCTCCAGGGCATATCAGAGACCTTCATGACAGTCCCTCCCATCACAGGGGCTGGAGGCTTAGGAGGAAAAAATGATTTTGTGGGCCTAGGTCCAGGGATCCCCTGTTATGTGCAGCCTCAGGACATGGTGGCCTGCATCCCAGCCACTCAAGCTGTGGATAAAAGGGGTCATGGTACAGGTCAGTCCATTGATTCAGAGGGTGCAAGCCCCAAGCCTTGGCACCTTCCACATGATGCTGGTTTTGCAGGTACGCAGAAGACAAAAAGGTTTGGGAACTTCCATTTAGATTTCAGAAGATGTATACAAAATCTTGAATATTCAGGCAGAAGTGTGCTGCAGGGGCAGAGCCCTCACGGAGAACCTCTGCTATGGCAGTGCAGAAGGGAAATGTGGAGTTGGAGCCCCCACACAGAGTCCCCAGTCAGCTACTGTCTGAGAAGAGGGCAACCGTCCTCCAGCCCCCCAAATGATAGATCCAATGACGGCTTGCACAGTAGATGCAGAAAAGTCTCAGACACTCAATGCCAACCAATGAGAGCAGCCAGGAAGGGGGCTGTACCCTGCAAAGCCACAGGGGTGGAGCTGCCCATGACCATGGGAGTCCACCTCTTACATCATTGTGACCTGGATGTGAGACAGGAAGCTAAAAGAGATCATTCTGGAGCTTTAATATTTAATGACTGCCCTGTTGGATATCAGACTGGCATGGGGACTCGTAGCCCCTTTGTTTTGGCGGATTTCTCCCATTTGGAATGGGAGCATTTATACAATGCCTGTACCCCCATTGTATCATGGAAATAACTAAGTGGCTTTTGATTTTACAGGCTCTTAGGCAGAAGAGACTTGCCTTGTCTCAGATGCAACTTTGGACTTGGATTTTTGGGTTAATGCTGGAATGATTTAAGACTTTGGGGTACTGTTGGGAAGGCATGATTGGTTTTGAAATGTAAAAGGGACATGAGTTTGGGAGGGTCCAGGGACAGAATGATATGGTTAACCTTCATGTCCCCACCTGAATCTCATCTTAAATTGTAATCCCCAGGTGTTGAAGAAGTGACTTTATGGGAGGCGATTAGATTATGGAGGTGGTTTCCCCCATGCTGTTCTCATTATAGTGAGTGAGTTCTCATGAGATCTGATGCTTTCATAAGGGGCTCTTTCCCCTTTGCTTCCTAAACACATGCTCTCTCACATGCTACTGTTAGATATGCTTGCTTCTTCTGCCATGATTGTAAGTTTCCTGAGGCCTCCCCAGACATGTGGAATTTTGAGTCAATTAAATCTTTTTCCTTTATAAATTACTCAGTCTTGGGTATTTCTTTATAGCAGTATGAGAACAGACTAATACAGTCATTAATCACTTAGAATTTATTTTTATATATGATTAGAGGTAGGGGTCTAGTCTCATTCTTCTGCATATAAATATTCAGTTTTTCCAGCACTATTTATTGAAGAGATTATCTTTTCTCCAATCTATATTCTTGGAAACTTTGTTGAAAATGAGTTGACTGTAGATACATAAATTTACTTCTATAATTTCTATTCTGTTCCATTGGTCTATATGTCTGTTTCTTATGCCAGTACCATGCTACTTTATTTACTATAAATTTTTAGTAGGATTTGAAATCAGGTAGTGTGATACCTATAGCTTTGTTCTTTTTGTACAACATTGCTGTGTCTATTTGGGGATTTTTGTAGTTACATATGACTTTTAGGATTTTTTTCTAGTTCTTTGAAAAATTATATATTGATGTAGATTGCATTAAACCTATATATTGCTTTGGGTAGTATGACCATTATAACAGTATTAATTCTTCCAATACATCAACATAAGATATCTTTCTGTTTGTGTCTTTAATTTCTTTCATCAATGTTTTATAGTTTCCAGTATAGAGATTTTTTCAACACTTTTGTTGAATTTATTTCTCAATATATTATTTTTTTGTAGCTATTGTAAATGAAATTGCTTTATTTCTTTTCCTGAGTATTCTCTATTAATAGAAATGCTACTAAATTTGTATATTGATTCATATCTTATGACTTTACATACTTTATTACTTATTACAGTTTTTTGGAGAAACATTTAATGTTTTCTATATATAAGATTACATCGTCTACAAACAGAGACAATTTAACTTTATCCCTTATAGTTAAAATGTCTTTTTTTTTTCTTGCCTAGTTGCTCTGGCTAGGACTTCCAGTACTATGTGTAATAAGAGTGGTAAAAGTGGTCACCCTTGTCATGTTTTAGATCTTAGAAAAAAAGGTTTCAGCTTTTCCTTGTTTAGTATAATGTTAACTGTGGGTTTTTCATATATAACCTGTATTATGTTGTGGTATAAAACATCTATATATAAATTTTTAAGAGGTTTTATTAGAAAGGGATGTTGAGTTTTGTCAAATACTTTTCCTGCATCTATTGAAATAATCATATGGCCTTTGTCTTTCTTTTTGTTAATGTCATGTATTATGTTTATTAATTTGCACATGTTGAAGCATCCATGCATGCCTTGGATGAATGCCATTTAATGATATTAAATCATCTTAAAGATGTGCACTGAAAATTTGTTTGCTTGTATCTCGATGAGAATTTTTACATCTATGTTCATTATAAATATTGGTCTGTAGTTTTCTTTTTTTGTTGTTGTTGTATTCATGTTAGGTTTTGGAATTAGGGTAATGCTGGCCTCCTAGAATGAATTTATAAGTATTTATTCATCTTCAATTTTTTGTAAAAGTTTGAGAAGAGCTTTATTAGGTCTTCTTGAAATGTTTAGTAGTTTGAGCTTTGAAGCCATGATTTCCTGAGTTTGTTTTTTGATGGGACACGTTTTATTACTAATTTCATGTTCTCACTTTTATCAGCCAGTTTGGATTTTGTATACTTGAATAACTTAAGCTTGCTAGGTTTATGTGTTAGTCAATTTTCATTGCTATAAAATAAGGCCTGAAGCTGGGTAATTTATTAAAAAAAGAGATTTATTTTGGCTCATGATTCTACAGACTACACAGAAAGCGTGAAACCAGCATCTGCTTCTGGTGAGGTCTCAGGAAGCTTCCAAGCATGGCAGAAGACAAAGGGAGATTCAGAACATCAGATTACAAGAAAGGAAGAAATGAAGGGAGTGGTCACACTTTTTTAAACAACAATATCTCACATGAACTCAGAGAAATAAATCACTCACTACTGCAAAGAAGGCACCAGGCCATTCTTGAGTGACTTGCTTAAATCACCCCAACACCTCCCACAAGGCCCCAACTTCAACATTAGCGATGACATTTCAGCATGAGATTTGGGTGGGACAAACATTAAAACTATATTATTCTGCCCTGTTGCCCAAAATCTTATATCCTTCTTACATTTTAAAATAAAATCATTTTTTTCTGATAGTCTGTAAAAGGCTTAACTCGTTCTAGCATTAAGTCAAAGTCCAAAGTCCAAAGTTTTACCTGAAACTCAAGATGTGTTCCTTTCACCCATGAGCCTGTAATATCAATACCAAGTTTTTTACTTTCAGCTGTTCACTGAGGATATGGTTGAAAATCTAGAAAACCCCAAAGACCCATCAAAAAATCTAGACTTGATAAATGAATTCAGTGAAGTTCTAGTATACAAAATCAATGTACACAAATCAGTAACACTGCTATACACCAATAGCGACCAAGCTGAGAATCAGATCAAGAACTCAACGCCTTTTATAACCACTGGAAAATAAAATAAAATACTTAGGAAGATACCTAACCAGAGAAATGAAAGATCTCTACAAGGAAAACTTCAAAACACTGCTGAAAGATATCATAGATGACACAAACAAATAGAAACACATCCCATGCTCATGAATGTGTATGATCAATACTGTTAAAATCACAATACTGCCAAAAGCAATCTATAAATTCAATGCAATTCCCATCAAAACACCATCACCATTTTTTACAGAACTAGAAAAACAATCCTAAAATTTATATAGAACAGAAAAGATGCTGCATAGCCAAAGCAAGACTAAGTGAAAATAACAAATCTGGAAACATCATATTACTCAAGTTAAAACTATATTACAAGGCTATAGTTACCAAAACAGCATGGTACTGGTATAAAACCAGGCACATAGATCAATGGAACAGAATAGAAAACCAAGAAATAAAGCCCATACTTACAGCCAACTGACCTTCAAAAAGCAAGCAAAAACATAAAGTGGGGTAAGAACTTCCTGTACAACAAATGATGCTGGGATAATTAGCATGCCACATGTAGAAGAATGAAAATGAATCCTCACCTTTCACCTTATACAAAAATCAACTCAAGATGGGTCAAAGACTCAAATCTAAGACCTGAAACCCTACAAATTCTAGAAGATAACATTGTAAAAACATTTCTAGACATTGGCTTAGGCAAAGAGTTTATGACCAAAAACCCAAAAACAAATGTAGAAGAAACAAAGATAAATAGATAGGACTTAATTAAACTAAAAAGCTTCTGCACAGCCAAAGAAATAATCAGCAGAGTAAACAGATAACCCACAGAGTGGGATGAAATATTTGCGAGGTATGCATCTGACAAAGGACTAATATCCAGAATCTAAAATGATCTCAAAGGAATCAGTATGAGAAAAATAAATAATCCCATTAAAAAGTGGTTTAAGGACATGAATAGGTAGTTCTCAAAAGGAGATATACAAATGGCCAACAAACATTTGAAAAAAAGCGCTCAACATTACTAATTATCAGGGAAATGGAAATCAAAACCACTATGTGATGCCACCTTACTCCTGCAGGAAAGGCCATAATTTAAAAATAAAAAAATAATAGATGTTGGCATGGATGTGGTGAAAAGGGGACACATTCCCACTGCTGGTAGGAATGTAAACTAAAACTAGTACAACCACTATGGAAAACAGTATGGGATTCCTTAAAGAACTAAAGGTAGAATTACCATTTGATCCAGCAATCCCACTACTGGGTATCTACCCAGAGAAAAAGAACTTATTATATGAAAAAGACACTTGCACATGCATGTTTACAACAGCACAATTCGCAATTGCAAAATTATGGAACCAGCCTAAATGCTCATCAACCAATGGGTGGATAAAATAAATATTATATAAATATATACACACACGTGTATATTCCACATACCATGGAATACTACTAAGCCATAAAAGGGAAGGAAATAATGGCATTTGCCACAACCTGGATGGAGTTGGAGACCATTATCCTAAGTGAAGTAACTCACAAATGTAAAACCAAACATTGTATGTTATTTATAAGTAGGAGCTAAGCTATGAGGATGCAAAGATGTAAGAATGATCTAATGGACTGCAGAGACTTTGGGCAACGTGTAGGAGGGTGAGCAATAAAAACACTACACATTCGGTGCAGTGTACACTGCTTGGGTGATGAGTGCACCAAAATCTCAGAAATCACACCTAAAGAACTTGTCCGTGTAATGAAACACCACCTGTTTTCCAAAAATTAAGTAATAATAATAATAAAATTAATCAAAAAAGGTTAATATTGATAGATGAGTAGTTACTCCTGCCATTTTGTTAGTTGCTTTCTTGTAGTTTTGTATTTTTTTTCTTTCTTATTATTTTCCTTTGTGATTTGGTTGTTTTCTGTAGTTCTAAGATTTGTTTCCTGTATCTTTCTTATTTATTTTTTATCGCTGTAATTTCAATCTATGCGTTACCATGATGCTAATATAATCTTATAGTCAGAGTAGACTATTTTATGCTGATAACAACTTTACTTCAGTCACATAAAAATATTCTAGACTTTGTTCCCTCCCCTCAACAACTTGAATATTTTTTGCCTTAATTTATCTTTTTGTATTTTTTGTGTGTTTCTTAGCCACTAATTTTAGTTGTTGATTTTTTATCTTTTTGACTTTTGACCTTTATCCTAGTGAATTGAAAGATTTACATGGAATTATTACACTACTGTGGTATTCTGATTACACTTATAAATTTACCTATACTAGTGTGTTTTATACTTTCACTTGTCTTCTTAGTAGGTATTCTCATCATTTTGTTTGTAGTTGTAGCACTCTTTTAAGCATTTCTTGTAAAGCTGGTCTAGTGGTGATGAGTCTCTTCAGTATGTGCTTGTCTGGTAAGGTTTCTATTTCTCCTTCATTTCCATCAGATAGTTTTGTTGGAAATAGTATTCTTGGCTGATCTTTTCATTCCAGCACTTTAAATATATCATTTTATTCTCTCCTGGCCATCCAGGTTTCTGCTAAGAAATCTTTGGATAGTCTATTGGTGACTTTCTTATGTGTCACTTGACATTTTTTTCTTGCAGCTTTTGAAATTCTTTCTTTTTCTTTGACTTTTGACAGTTTGATTATAAGGTACCCAAGAGATAATTTTTTTGGGTTGAATCTCATCGACATTTGAGATTCTTGGTGCTGGATGTCAATATCTCTCTCAAAACTTGAAAAGTTATTAGCTATTACTTTGTTAAATATGTTTTCAATGTCTTTCTCCAGGTCTTCTTTTTCTGACATTGCAATAGTGCAAAAATTTTGTTTGCTTAATGGTCTTTCTTAAGTTCCTTAGATGTTTTTCATTTCTTAAATTCCTACTGCTTTTTTTTCTCTGACTGGGTAATTTCAAAATGTATCTTCAAATTTAGAATTTTTCTTTTTTCATTTGATCTAATCTGTTGTTGCAGCTCTCAACTGTATTTTTATTTTATTTATTGAAATCTTCAGTTCCAATATTTCTCTGTTTCTTTTTAGTAATATCTACCTCTTTGTTGAATTTTTCATTCATACAATTTTTTCTTAGATTTTATCAAATTGTTTGTATTCTCTTGTATCTTAGTGAGGTTTTCTAAGATCATTATTTTGACCATTTTCAGGCATTTTCTAAACATCCTTTTTTGGGGGCAGGCTTCTATTGAACACTTATTTTGGTTTTTGG
The DNA here is from genome assembly GCF_000001405.40 of Homo sapiens. Lineage (NCBI taxonomy): Eukaryota > Metazoa > Chordata > Mammalia > Primates > Hominidae > Homo > Homo sapiens. The sequence continues at coordinate 90,019,436 of NC_000023.11, forward strand.
GGGGTGTTATATTTCCTTGCTTTTTATGTTTCTCATATTCCTAATTTGAAATTTGCATATCTAGTGGGGCATTTACTTTTCTTTCCCATGTTATGGAGTAGCTGTCATAAGAAGAGGCTTTTTCCTGTATATAGATCATAAGATGTCAGTTGTAAATGATGCACTGGCTTTCTTTCTGAATGGATTCAGTAACATGGTCTCCATACAGATTCTTCAGCTATAATCTTCATGTGTAATGTGGAAGTTTGTAATGTAGTGTTGTGGTTTTGCTTGCAGCAGGGGCCCTGGTTGATTGTCAAGCCAGGTATCTGTGAGTACAGCAGAATGGCAGACTGTGTGGTGGGCTCTCTGGAAGATTAGGATCAGAGACAGGCTGGTTGTCATGCTGCAGGCAGAGGAACATGGGTTGGGTAGCTCCCCAGGCACTCTCCACTGGAATAGGACCAGCTCCAGGCTGACTGGTGCTAGAGACAGCTGTGTGTTGGGCCAGGCAGCCTGAGGATGCCTGTGTGTTCCTTTATGGATAGTGTGCCTCACAGTTTCAGGTGTTGGGGTTTTAGTCATTTCTTTAGGCATAGGTTCTGGGCAACTGGCGTATTGTTGCTGCAGGCACTCATGTGAACACAGTGAAATGATGGTGGGACCTGAAGGATGAAGAGTGAAGAGCTACTGGCCTCAAGGGCAGAACTTACTCCAGATGTGTGTTTAGTCTTAAGAAGGTGCCGTATAGTAGGAGCTTAGGTTTTGGAAGTAGGGGGTGCCCAGGGGATTTCTACTCTTGGATTTTGCAGTCACAGAGACTCCTGGCAAATTTCCACATTGGAATTGGGGTCTTTGAGGACTGGGGGACCCTTCTATATCAATAACGTCTGGCATCCATGATGGTGTTTGGCACCATCAATGTTATCCAACATACTTTTCCCAACAATAAGTTGTTCCTGGTTCTGAGCCAACTTGGCAAAGGAGACTGTGTGACAGAGGCAAGATGCCTCACTACCCTTTCTATAGTGAAATCCTGGTCTTCTATGCTCCATAGGGTCCTCATTTCCCTGATGATTTCCAGGCTATTTCCTCTGTCACTGCAGTCAAAATATAGTTGTTAATCTGTTGTTTTGGTCACTTTTTGTTGGGAAGCTGAGCAGCGGACAACTCTAGTTGACTGTTGACATCATTCAAGTCATATATAATTTTTTTACTTTCTTGATGGTGTCATTTTTGGCACAAAACGTTTACATTTTAATTAAGTCAAATTCATCCAGTTTTTCTTTTTTTGCTTATATTTATATTTCAGCAGTCATATTTAAGAAACTGCTGCCTTACCCAAGGTCAGAATATTTTCATTCAAAAATTTTATAATTATATCCCTTATATTTACACCTTCAATCTACTTTCAGGTAATTTTTGTATCTGGTGTAAAAATGTCAACCTTATTCTTTCTTCAGCTGCCTCACATCCTTTGATGAAAAGACTGGTGTATTTTTATTACATTTTCCTGGTTACCTTTTTAAAAAATCAATTGATGATAAACGTAAGGGTTTATTTCTGGATACTAAAATCTAACTTAATTAATCTCAACAGTCTCTCCTGCTGTGTATACATAAGCAATTTGAAGAAAATTGAGACCAAGCTGGAGGAGATCCATGCTCAAGCAGGATGGTACTTCTCTGTAAACTCTCAGTCTTAGTTAGACTCATTCTTTAACCATTTTAGCTGCCTAAACACCAACACCTGGGGCTTCTGGCAAAGAACTATACTTCTTGAAGGCCTGATCATCCTCCTTTGACTGATCCTGTTAGTGACTCTGATCAAGTGCTGTCCAATTGGGCAGGGAGACTCTACAAGCAAGTCACTACCATTGAAATTATTCACAGACCACATTGGACACACAGGCATCTCATATTCGGGGTGTCTGTTAGTCCTATCCTGTATGATGTGCTTTGTTCTTTCTTCATGGCATCCCAATATTGGATGGGGTGTTGAAGAAGCAGTCATTATGTGACATACTTCCTGTCTTTTAGATTGTTCAGTCAACGGCCTGAGTCTGGAACATTCCCCTCTATGGAAGCTAGGACCAAGCTGTCTCTTGGCCCCTGAGTCTTTTTTTCTTATTAAAAGTGAAGCTTCTTCTGTTCTTAGTACACAGCACATTTTTTTGTGTGTGTTGCTTAAGTGTGCACATCATATGGCACTTGACCAGTCCCTCCAGTATATATGTCCCCACATGGGAAAGAAACAAGGTAATTACCTGCTGCATAAGAGGGGAGTGTGTGGTCTATTGTTCTGTGAAGTCTGTCAGCAGCAACCCACTGGCCATGGGAGACCAGCACATAGTACAGACCGTGATCTTGCTATGTGTTTTTTTCTATTCTGTGAGTAATGTGTTGTTCCAGCTAGTGCCTTGTGTGTTGAGTCCTTTTTGGTGACTTTGAACCTGTAGAAGATGCAGTGGTCTGAGATCCGTGGCTTACTTCTGGTGGTTGGCATTGTCATCCTTGTTCTCTATGTGCTGAGAGTCCTTGCTTGGGATTGGTTGCTGGGTCTTCTTGATGGACATATTCTATTTATTGAAAAAATAATTCTGAAAGCAAATGATCTTAAATACCTAAATTAATTCTGAAAAAGAAAAACTAAACTAGAATACTCACATTACTCAATTTTGTGACTAATAATAAAGTTACAGTACCAAGAGTGTTGTATAGAAAAAGGATACAAACACTGATAAATGAAACAATATTGAAAACAGATATAGACTCACACAAATATGCTCAACTGACTTTTGGAAAGAATACAAGAGCAATTAAAGAAAAAATTGTTTTTTGAACAAATGGTACTGAAAGAATCAGACATCATTAAAGAAAAAGATAAAATATGGAAAAAATTTAAAAAATCAAAGATACAGACTTTACATCTTACCAAAAAAAAATGCAAAATAGATAACACACCCAAATGTTAAATGTAAAAGTATAAAATTTCTAGATGAAAATCTAGGAATAAATTTGTGTGATTTTGAGATTGTTGGTAAAATTCTATATGCAAGACCAAATGCACAATCCATGACAAGTTACTTTTATGAGTTGGACTTAATAAAATTATAACCTTTTTTCTCTCTGACAGTCACTATTAAGAGGATGAAAAGATAAGTCACAGACTTGAAAAAACTATCTGGAAATAGTGTTTCTAAAAAAAACTTCTATCTGGGATATGCAAAGAATACTTAAAACTTATAAAAAGAAACACATTTTAATGGGCAAAAGATCTTGACAGACACATCGTGAGGTAATAACATGATGACAGGATCGTCTTTACATATCAATATTAACACTGAACATAAATGAGCTAAATGCTTCAATTAAGAGTCACAAAGTAGTCAAGTTTAATGAAGAAGCAATGCCCAACTGTACACTGTCTTCAAGAGACTCATGTCATATGTAAGGACATACATAGACTCAAAGTAATGGGATGGAGAAAGATCTATCAAGCAAATGGAAAACAAAAAACTAAGGGGGATTGCTATTCTTATTTCACGCAAAGCAGACTTCAAACCAACAATGATCAAAAAGAACAAAGAAGGGCATGACATAATGATAAAGAATTAAATTCAACAAGAAATTATATATATATATATTTATATATATGTTTTATGAATGTCTAGTGTTGGGTATATATATACCCAACACTAGACATTCATAAAACAAGTTCATAGAGACATAGGAAGAGACAAATAAACACACAATAAGTGTGGGAGAATTCAAAACCCCACTGACAGTACTGGACAGATCATCAAGACAGAATACTAACAAAGATACTCAGGACCTAAATTCAACACTTGACCAAATGGACATAACAGATATCTACAGAACACTCCACCCAACAAAAACAGAATATACATTCTTCTCATCTGCACATGGCAGATATACTAAAATTGACCACAGATTTGGCTAGAAGGTAATTCTCAACACATTGAACATACCAAAATTATACCAACCACACTTACAGACCACAGGATAACAACAATAGAAATCAATACCAAGAACATTTCTCAAAACCACACAATTACAGGGAAATGGAACAATCTGCTTTGGAAGAAGTTTTGGGAAAACAACGAAATAAAGGCAGAAATTAAGAAATTATTAAAAACTAATAAAAATAAAGACACAGCATACTAGAATCTCTTGGACAAAGATAAAGCAGTGTTCACAAGAAAGATTATAGTGCTAAAGACCCACATCAAAAAGATCTCAAATTAACAACCTAACAGCACACCTAGTGGAACCAGAAAAACAAGAGCAAATTAACTGTATATTTTTGTATTTTTAGTAGAGACAGGATTTCACCATGCTGGCCAGGCTGATCTCAAACTCCTGACCTCAAGTGATTCACCCACATCAACCTCCCAAAGTGCTGGGATTAGAGGTGGGAGCCACTGCGCCCAGCTAGAACATAATTTCTGAAAAGAAATAATCAAAATCAGAGCTGAAGTGAATAAAATGCAGATAAAAAAGCCATAAAGATCAATGAAACCAAAAATTGTCTCTTTGATAGAATAAATAAGATTGATAGATCACTAGCTAGATTTATAAAGAAAAAGCAAGAGACAATCCAAATAAACACAATCAGAAATGACAAAGTGAATATTAACATTAACCTCACAGAAACACCAAAAAACCTCTGAGAGACTATTATGAACATCTCTATGCGCAAAAAGTAGAAAACATAAAAGAAGTGGATAAATTCCTGGAAATACAAAACATCCCAAGATCAAACTAGGAAGAAATTGGAACTCTGAACAGACTGATATCAAGTTACAAAATATAATTAGTAATGAAAAACCTACCTACCAGAAACAGTCCTGGACCAGATGGATTCACAGCTGAATCTTATTAATATCAGTTGTATAAAGAAGAGCTGGTATTAATTCTACTGAAACTATTCCACAAAATTTAGGAGGAAGGATTCCTGCTTTACTCATTCTATGAGGCCAGTATCATTTTGATATCATAACCCGGCAGAGACACAACAAGAAAAGAAAACTTCAGGGTAATATCCCTAATAAACCTAGATGCAAAAATCCTCTATCAAATACTAGCAAACCAAATCCAACAGCCTATCAAAAACTAAAACACCAGGATCAAGTAGGCTTTATTCCTATGATGCAAGGTTTATTCAAAATATGCAAATCAATAAATGTGATTTATCACATAATCAGTACTAAAAACAAAAACCACATGATTATCTCAATAGATGCAGAAAAGGCTTTTGATAAAATTCCACATCCCTTCATGTAAAAACCCTCAACAATCTAGGTATTGAAAATACATACCTCAAAACATTGAGTCATCTATGACAAACCAACAGCCAGTATCATACTGGATGGGTAAAAGCTGGAAGCATTCCCCATTGAGAACCAGAAGAAGAGAAGAATGCCCAGTCTCACTGTTCCTTTTCAACATAGTACTAAAATTCCTAGCCAGAACAATCAGGCCAGACAAGCAAATACAAGGCGTACAGGCAGAAAGAGAGGAATTTGAACTATCTCTCTTTCCAGAGGATATGATTCTACACCTAAAAAACCCCATAGTCTCTGCTCAAAGGCTCTTACATCACATAAACAACTTCAGTAAAGTTTCAGGATACAAAATCATGTCCATAACTCAGTAGTATATCTATACACCAATAACTTCCAAGCCTAGAGCCAAATCAAGAACACAATCCCATTCATGATAGCCACAAAAAGAAAAAAAATATATATCTAGGAATACAGCTAACCAGACAGCTGAAAGATCTCTACAGCAAGAATTACAAAACACTGCTGAAAATAATCAGAGATGCAGAGATGACACAAACAAATGGGAAAACATTCCATGCTGATGGATAGGAAGAAACAATATTGTTAAAATTGCCATACTACTCAAAGCAATGTAAAGATTTAATGCTCTTTTTATCAAATTACCAGTGACATTTTTCACAGGATTAGAAAAAAATTAAAATTTATTTAGAACCAAAACAGAGCCAGAATATGCAAACCAATTCTAAGCAATAAGAACAAAGATGGAGGCATCTCACTACCTGATGTCAAAATATATTTCAAGGCTACAGTAACTAAAACATGGTACTGGTACAAAAAGAGACATATAGACCAATGGAACAGGTTGGAAAACCAGGAAATAAAGCACATCTACAACCATCTCAACTTCAACAAAGCCAACAATAACAAGCAATGGGGAAAAGACTCCCTATTCAATGTATGGTGCTGAGATAACTGGCTAGCCATATACAGAAGATTGAAACTGGATGCCTACCTTTCACCATATACAAAAATCAACTCAAAGTGGATAAAACACTTCAATGTTAAACATACAACTATAAAAATCAAAGAAGAAAGCCTAGGAAACATCATGCTGGACATAGGACCTAGCAAAGTCTTCATGATGAAAACTGTAAAAACAATTGCAACAAAACCAAAAATAAAGTGGGATCTAATTAAACTAAAAAACTTTTGCAAAGCAGAAGAGACTATTAGAGTAAATAGGCAACCCACATAATGGGAGAAAATATTTGCAAACTGTGAATCAAACAAAGGTCCAATAACCAGAATCTATAAGGAACTTAAACAAGGAAAAATCAAACAACCCCATTAAAAAATGGACAAAGTTTATGAACATACACTTCTCAAGATAAAGCATATATGTGCCCAACACACATATGGACACATGCTCGACATCGCTAATCAGTAGGAAAATGCAAATCTAAATCACAATGAGATAGCTTCTCACACTAGTCAGAATGGTTATTTTTTTAATGTCAAAACAACAGATGCTGGCAAAGTTACAGAGAAATGGAAATGCTTATACATTGCTAATGGGAGTGTAAATTACTTCAGCCACTGTGGAAAGCAGTTGAAGATTTCTCAAGACTTAAAATAGAAATATCATTCTACAATAGTAGTTGTAGAATGCAATCCCATTATATACCCAAGGGAATATAAATTGTTCCATCATAAAGATACATGGACTAGTATGTTCATTGCAGCACTATTCACAATAGTAAAGACAAGGAATCAAACTAGATGCCCATCAATGGCTGACTGGATAAAGTAAATGTGATATATATATCTCCCATGGAATACTACACAGCCACAAAAAGAATGAGATTATGTCCTTTGCAGCAAGACAGATGGAGGTGGAGGCCAGTATCAGAGGCAAATTAATGCAGAAACAGAAAACCAAATACCATCTGTTCTCACTTATAGGGTCGGGGGCTAAATAGTGAATATACATGGACACAAAGAAGAGAATAGACACTGGGGCCTACTTGAGGGTGGAGTATGGGAAGAGGATGAGTATTTAAACACTATCTATCATGTATTATGCTGGTCTCTGGAGTGACAATATTATCTGTACACCAAACCCCTGTGACATGCAATTACCCATGTAACAAATTTGCACACATACCTCTTGAACCTAATAGGTGGAAAGAAAATAAATAAATAAATAAATAAATAAATAAATAAAATATGTTTTTTAACTTCAAATGATGAATATAGTAGCTTTCAAATGTATCTAACCTTCTCCCAGAGACCACGGTTTTTTATTTTACCAACCTAAGTTGGCAAAGTTGCTACATATTTTATCTTTTAGAGTCATTTAATGATTTATATTTTAAGGAGGAAGGTAAGATGATCCTTAGAATACCCTACCAACAGATAAAATTAACCGGTTGTTCTTTTGGGCAAATATTGAGGATTTTATATATAATTTTTGGAAAATCTTGATTATATTTCACCTTGGGAAATGGAATAAAGTCTTGTGTCTACTTTACCCTTTGCAAAGACACAAGGATAAAATACTCCAGGGAAATAGTCATTGCCAGAGTTATTTGGCTTTCTCAGGTTTGTTTTAGAAATGGGCTCATTCTCTCCAGACACTGTTAGAGAATTAAATGATTGCTTTTCCCTAGTTAAAGATAGAAGTTTTTTTTTTTTTTTTCACTTATCAGGCCTCTGGACACAATAATGTCATATACTGTCATTTCTATTTAATATATAACATTGTATGGAGTACTTGTTCTTCATTGACTTGTCATTTTTTAATCCTTGTAGATTTTCCATACTAAATCTGCATATTAGAAATAGTTACCACATATATAAAACTTGCCTTTACATTTTAAAGATCTTAAACTAATTGATGTTATAAAATATATGATGGAGAAAAATTCACAACCCAAGTTTCCTTTAAATAAAAAATGAACACAGGACTTGTTTCTGTTTCCAGTGAATATATTGCTGCAATTTCACTTCATATTGGATGTTAACAAAAAATATCTGCAGTATTTACTACAGGAAAATATGAAAATAAAAAAAATATTATCTAGAGCTGCTCCACTTCTCTGACCATCTGCATTTTTGTCTATATTTTCCCTGCATCATCTCATGTAGGCATGTTCTGTGAAGAATTACCTCAGGCTCATTCTCTTGAGAAGCCTTCATTTTCTATTCTGATACTTAATGGTTTGGGGTTGTGTTACTTTATCTAGGTGACACATTTGCATTTTTCACTGCAACTTCTTAAAAAGAAAGTGCTACTGCTGATGAGAAAATTAGGACCAAAAAAAACCTGAGAATGCTCTTTTGGAGGCATTATACATATTCCATGTATGAATTATGTTTGTCATGAATATCGGAAAGTGTTATTTATCTAATTTCCAAATTTTACAGACCTTCCTTTCAGGAACATTTCTTCTTCTACATAACATCTAAGACTAATATATTTGTTTGAAAGAAGAACAAGCTTCTATATTTAAATGAAGTAAGTTTACCTTACATCTCCAACATGTTTATTTGTGTGTGTATTATACACATATGTGTCCAGATTAATTACATATATATGCAGATTAATTACATTGGATCACTTTGGATCGCTTTTTATCATGAAAGAGGCAACGTTTTCTTCTTACCAGGCTAGATACTTAAACTGGATATAGATTTGCCTCCTCTGCATGCAGTGCTTTGGTCATAACTGTCATCCACAGGCCTTAACAATGTCTTATTTACCATCATGGTATTCTGAAGAGCATTGCTTCTGGTCAGGAAACTCACTTCACAGCAAATGAACTGTGGCAATAGTTGCACATTTATGGAATTCATTATGTGTACCATATTTCCCACTGCTATGGTCCGAACGTTTGTCTCCCCCTCCCTTAATTAATACATTGAAAACCTAATCATGAATGTGATGATATTTGGAGTTGTGGCCTTTGAAATTTTATTAAATCATGAAGTCAGAACCCTCATCGATGGGATTAGTGTCTTCATAAATGAGGCCTGAGGGAGCTTGCACACTCCTTCTGTCATGTTAGGACACAGTTTGGAGATGCCAACTTTGAAGAAGAGAGTGAGCTCTCACCAGATGCCAATCTGCTGGCACTTTGACCTTGGATTTCCCAGTTTCCAGAGCTGTGAAAAATGAATTTCTGGTGCCTACAAGCTACCCAGTTTTTATAGTACTTTGTTATAGCAGCCCCAATAGACAAAGACACTCACTATTTTGAAACAGCCAGCTTAATAAAATAGTGAAGTAGCCCTTTAAAGACTCAATTACAGCGCAAGCTAGATGGTAATACCTTGCTGTATTAGTCCATTTTACGTGGGACTGGGCAATTTATAAAGAAAAGAGGTTTAATATACTCACAGTTCCACATGGCGGGGGAGGCCTCAGGAAACTTACAATCATGGCACAAGGCAACTCTTCACAGGGTGACAGTAGAGAGAATGAAAGACAGGCTAGCGAAGGCGGAAGCCCTATATAAAACCATCAGATCTTATGAGAACTTACTGAGTATCACAAAAATAGCATGGGGGAAACCATCCCCATAACTCAATTACTTCCCACTGGGTCCCTCCCATGACATGTGGGAGTTATGGGAACTACAGTTCAAGATGAGAGTTCAGTGAGAACACAGCCAAACCATATCATTCTGCCCCTGGCCCTTCCCAAATCTCATGCCCTCATTTCAAAAAACAATCATGCCTTTCCAACAGTCCCCCAGAGTCTTAGTACATTCCAACATTAACCCAAAAGTCCAAGTCCAAAGTCTCATTTGAGACAAGGCAAGTGCCTTCCACCTATGAGCCTGTAAAATCAAAACCAAGTTATTTACTTCCTAGATACATTGGGGATACAGGCATTTGGTAAATATAGCCTTTCCAAATGAAAAGGACAAATAACCACCAGAACAGCTTGGGAACTCACTTGTAGACACTCTACAAGGTTGGAAATTCTGTTTGTGTTATAATTCAGCCACCTGCAGGATGACATTTTTGGTCCGATTTTCAGCAATCTAAGCTCTGTGGCTACAGGAGATAAGGGTTCATTTCAAGGCAGTCATAGAAATTTTCAGGCCATTTATGCCATACTTGAGCCAAAAATTCTAGTGGCTGAGCTTATCCTGTTTTTTACTGACTTTGTTCAGCACAAATAAGGGCAATCAGTGAATCCCATTCTACTCATTAGTTAGACAAATATGTTATAAAATATCAAATACATAGTGACACAGAAGCTTGCTTCTTAAAAGTATTTAGTTAGGAGTATCAAATAATGATACTTTTCTTGTCTCTATTGCCACATCATGCTTTGGACCATTCATGTTGTCTTTACTACTGGAAATTGTCATTATGTCTTTAAATATAGTCAGATTAGAGAACAAATGCCAGAAATCTCAAGACCAGTTTATAATCTCATCCACACAATTTTGTTCTCTTAGAATGACTCTCAGTACCAAAATTTGTATTAGTCATTGTTCTCCAGAGAAACAACTAATAGGATAGATAGATAGATGGATCAGTCTATAAAGATCTTTCTGTCTTTTGAGAAATTAATCTATTTTAAGGAATTAACTCACATGATTGTGTGAACTGGAAAGTCCCTAAGGCAAACTAGCAGACTAGAAATTTTGGAAAAAGTTGGTTCTGCAATCTTGAGTTCAAAGGCAGTCTGGAGGCAGAATTCTTTTCTTCTTGGGTGACTTCAGTCTTTTCTCTTAGGTGTTATAAATAATTGGACATGTACTATGTGCATTGTGGGAGCATGATTTGCTTTATTCGAAGTCTAGTGATTTAAATGTTAGCCACATATAAAAAATACCTTCACCACAAAATCTAAACTGATGTTTGAGAAAAAAAAAAAAAACTGGGCACCAGAGGCTAGCCAGGTTGGCACATAAAATTAACCATCATGAGCTGTATCTAGTGTGAGGCAATTATGAAAAATACTGCTATGAATATGTATTCAAATTTTTGTAAAAATATGGTATGTTTTTATTTTCCTGTATGTACACCTAGGGTTGGAAAGGCTGGGTTGTATGCTAAAAGTATGTTTAACATTTTCAGGAATTGCCAAATGATTTCTCAAAGTAGCTATACTGTTTAAAATCTCACTGGAAATGTAAGAAAGCTTTAATTCCTTTACATTCTCTCTTATGTGTGTGTGAAGTGGTAACTCGTAGTTTAGATTTGCATTTCCCCAATGAACAATGATAGATATTGAACATCTTTTCATGTGTGATTGGGTATTTGAATATCTTCTTTGGATAAATATCCATTCAAATTTTTACTCTTTTAAAAAACTGACTTGTCTTTTTGTTACTTTTTATTGCTGAATTGTTTTATTCCTGACTTGCTTTTATATTCTGGATTTATGCCTTTTATTATATATACAATTTGCGAGTATTTTTTTCCTGAGTTATGAGTTATTTCACTTTTTTTGATGGTGTCCTTTGAAGCACAAAAGATTTAAATTTTGGTGTAATACAACTTATCTATATTTTCTCTTGTTGCTTGTGCTTTTAATGATGTATCTAAGAAACCATAGCCTAAGTCATGGTCACAAAGATTGACATCTATTTTTTTTCTAAGAATTTTATAATTTTAACTTCTTTGTTTCATTTTTAATCTATTTTGAGTTAATATTTATGTATGATGTGAAGAAGCAATTCAACTTTATTATTTTGCATGTAGATATCCAGTTGATTTAACACCATTTTTGGAAAATACTACTGTTTTCTGGTTGGATTTCCTTGGCACAAATGTTGAAAACCAATTGTCTATAAATAGAAGATATTATGATTTCTATTGTTATAGTTCCCTGTTAATTTGATATTCAGTTCTCCGTCTTAAGAGTGACCACAAGTTCTAACCATACCCTGATGAGAAATTCAAGGGATTTGGTCGTGGATATAGACAGTATGCCTTTTATGGGATATTTCTTTACGGTGTAGATAAACTAATACCTAAGTATTTGATCCATGACAAGATGTTGCTCTCATAGAAATCTTGTTTATACTGGCCAACACCCTCTGCCTCTCATAAGTACTATGTCCAGTTTATTCTTGTCAAGACAGCCACTCTCTAAGAGAGATCCTTGACTAGAAAGAAAGTTAGGTTCAAGTATTTGTGTCAGGTGAGATACAATGAAGAAATGAAGCCAAATGCATAAAACAAAAGAAATTTATTACTTCCAGGCTCCAGAGAGATCAAGAGTGCTAATAGGATGCCAGTGAGAAGTCCAGAGGCTCCAGGGAGTTCAACCAGCAAGGAGGGAGCAAGAGAAACAGAGCCTGTGGGACTACGCCTTTATAAAATCCATGGGCATTATTTCTTAGGCTTTCCCACAGGGGTTGTGGATTGGCTAGTTTAAAGAAAACTCACTCGTAAAAGGATAACTTATTTACAGAACTCTGGCATTGACCACTGGGTTTTATCATAGTCAGCGGCTGTGCAGTGTGTTAAGTTGCAGGTCAGCAAGATGAGGAACAAATGGGCTATATCACAAACAACCACACGGGGAAAGGAAGTTTTAGTTAGGCCAGAAGTGATGGGGTTTGACTGAGTTATACACAATTTGTGTCAGGCCTAAAAAATTGATTCTGAGGCAGCAACTTTATTAAATAAATTCATCATACAAATATATATTTCTAGTACCTCAGTTCTGTTCTATTGATCTATATGCCTATGCCAGTATTAAAATGCCTGGAGTACTAACATACTTTGAATCAGGATGTGTGAGTTTTCTAAACTTTTCCATGTTTTTAAAGATTGCTTTTGCTGTTTTGGGGCTCTTGTATTTCCATATGAATTTTAGGATCCGCTTTTTTATTTCTGAAAAAAAGAAAAAGAAAAAAGAAACAGCTCGGTTTTCAGTATGGATTTGATAAAATCTGTAGATCAATTTAGAGAATACTCTTATTTTAACAATATTAAGTCTTTTGATTCAAGAACATGGGATGTCTCTCTAATTATTTAGGTCTTATTTCACTTTTTACAGTAATTTTTACATTTCAGAGAACAATTCTTGCACTTCTGTTTCCAAATTTATCTCTAAATATTTTACATTTTTGAAATTATTTAATATGGAATAGTTTTCTTAATTTAATTTCAAGTTGTTTATTGCTAATAGGTAGAAATCCAGTTTATTATTGGGTATTCACCTTCTTTTATATGTGATTAACTCAATTATTAGTTCCAATAAGTCTCTTGTACATTACTTAGACTTTTATATTTACATAAAATTAATTTTCGACCAATGATATTTTATTTTCCTCTTAAATCTGAGTATTTTTTATTCTTTTATGCCAAATTGCCCTGGCTAAAACTTTTAGTTAAATTTTGCCTAAAAATGGTGAGAACAGATTCTTATCTGGTTCCAGGTCATATGCAGAAAGCATTTTTTTTTTTTTTTACCATTTAATACAATGTCATGTTTTTAGTTTTTATGGATGGCCTTTATAAAGTTGAGGAAATCATCTTCTATTTCTAGTCAGCTGAATTTTTTTTATTATAAGGTGACAGATTTTACCAAACGTCTTTTCTGTGTCTAATAATGTAACCAAGTGGATTTTGTACTTTAGTATATTAATATGGTATATTACATTGATTGATTTTTGTTTGTTGGGCCAACCTTGCATTTCTGAGACAAATCTCACTATTCAATGCTGTATAATGGTTTTTAGATGTTGTCAGGTTAGATATGCAAGTATTTTGTTGAGGATCCTTGCACCTAGATTTTGATTTTTTTGTAGACTTCTTATTTGAACAATGTGTTATATAGAAATGTGTTGTTTAATATTTGGGGATTTTCCAGCTGTCTTTTCTGTTATTGATTTTCTAACTTAATTATATTGTAGTACAGATTATGTTTTTGTAATTTCTAGTCTTTTAAAAATACTAAGGTATTTTTATGATGCAAGATACTGTCTATATTGATGAATGTCTCACGTGAGTTTGAGAAGAATGTGTGTTCTATGCTGTTGAAGTATTCTATGCATCGCAATTAGATCAAATCGAGTGAGTGTGTTTGTTCATTTCAACCATATTCTTATTGATTTTCTGCTTCCTGGACTTATCAATTACTGAGAGATGAGTATTGAAATCTCCAACTATAATAGTGAGTTTGTTTCTCTTTGTAGTTCTATTAGGTTTTGCCTCACATATTTTGATGCTCTGTTGTTAAGTAAATACATATTAATAGTTGTTATGTCTTCTTGCAGAAATGACCTCTTTGTCACTATGTATGACTCTGTTATTATCCCTGATACATTTTCTTGTTCTAAACTACATTTCATCTGCAATTAATGTAGCTACTCCAGCTTATTGCTACCATGATATAACTCTCACTACCTCAGAGCTCTCAATATCTGTTTCTTTATATTTGACATAGTTTGGCTGTGTCCCCACTAAACCTCATCTTAAATTGCAGCTCCCATAATTCCCATGTGTTGTGGGAGGGACCCAGTGGGAGACAACTTAATCATGGGGCGGTTTGCCCCATACTATTCTGGTGATGAATAACTCTCACTAGATCTGATGGTCTTATAACGGGTTTTCCTTTTCACTTAGTTCTCCTTCTGTCTAGCTAGCTGCCATGTAAGATGTGTCTTTTTCTTTTTGCCACGATGATGAGGTCTCTCCAGCCATGTGGAACTGTGGGTCCATTAAACCTCATTTTTTAAAAATAAATTACCCAGTCTCAGCTATGTCTTTATCAGTAGCATGAAAACTGACTAACACAATATTTAAAGTAGATTTCTTTTAAAACAATAGCTGTGTGTGTTTTTTTTTTTAATCCACTCTGACAGTCTCTGTCTTCTTACTGGAACATTTAGATCATTCCCATTTAAAGTGATTATGGATATAGTTAGATTAATATCTGTCATATGTATAACTGTTTTCTGTTTGAGGTCCATCTTCTTTTTTTTCTACTTTTTTTCTTCCCTGTCTGCTATTAACCAAAAGCAATATGAAATTTCATTTATTACCTCTCCTATCATGTTAATTAAACTTATTTTTAACACATTTTTGTGCCTTATGTAGAGTTTGCAATATATGTTTATAACATCTAATTCCATTTTCAAAGAATACTATCACCATGGAGATTAGGATTTCAGTGCATGAACGGGGGGGCATACACATTTTGTTTATTGCAGTGATTGAAGTATTTTTTCTTTTATTCTGTTTCGATATAGATAAATGTTTGTAAATATTGTTAATTTTCCAAAAAAACACACATTTGGTTTCTTAAGGTGGAGGCTGAGGGTTTTATTTCAGATTTTTTCTATAATAGTTCTTCATAGCTATAAATTATGCTCTTGGCACTGATTTAGCTGAATTCCATTACTTTGATATGGTGTGTTTCTGCTTTAATTCAGTTCAAAATTTTTCTAATATTTCTTGTGCGTTCTCCTTTGACCCATTGATTATTCAGAAATGTGTTGTTTTTTTTCAAACGTTTGTAGATTGCCCAAATGTTGATCCCTAATTATACTGTTGTCAGAAAAAATACATTTTGTAATTCAAAATTTTAAAATTCCACGATTTTTTTTTTTTTTTTTTTCAGATGGAGTCTTGCTCTTGTCACCCAGGCTGGAGTGCAGTGGCGCGATCTCGGCTCACTGCAACCTCCACCTCCTGGGTTCAAGCAATTCCCCTGCCTCAGCCTCCCGAGTAGCTGAGATTACAGGCGCCCGCCACCACACCTGGGTAATTTTTGTATTTTTAGTAGAGACGGGGTTTCACTATGTTGGCCAGGCTGGTCTTGAACTCCTGACCTCGTGATCCACCTGCCTTGGCCTCCCAAAGTGCTGGGATTACAGGCGTGAGCCACCACGCCTGGCCCACGTGACTTTTTAAGGCCAAATATATTACCCATCCTGGAGAATATTCCACATGTGCTTAAGAAAAATATGTACTGTGCTGTTCCTGGGTTAAGTGTTCTAGATGATTGTTATCTCTAGTTTATTATATTGTTCAAGTTTCCCATATCCCTGCTGATAAATCAGTTTCACAATTAATTATCAAGGGAAAAATCATTCCTCTGCATAGATAGAACATGATCTTTAAAGGAGAAAGCATCACATCTGTTTGTTTATATATTGTCTATGGCTGCTTTTGCGCCCCAATGGTAGAGTTGAGTAGCTATGCCAGAGAATATATGGAGTGCAAAAAGTAAAATATTTACCATCCGTCCCTTTACAGAAAAAGCTTGCTGGTCTCTGATCTAAATTATTTTTTAGGTATGAAATTGCTGGGCAAAAAGGTACAAATCTTCAACTTTAGAAATATAGTTAAAACACTCTGTAATGTGGTTGTGCAAAGTAATACTCTTTCATCTATGTGTATGATTTCCTGTGGCTTCATATTCTTTTGCCAACACTTTGCAATGTCAGGCAAAGATTTTGCTAGTCTGTTGTCCAATATTGGTATGTCTTCATAATTATAATTTGCATTTCTCAGATTACCAGTGAGATTGAGCAACTTTTCAAATTTTTATCATTTGTATAAATCTGTGAATTCCTGTTAATATCTGTTGCCAATGTTTTCTATGGAGATAATTGGGCTTTTATTATAATTATTTCTTTTTAAAAATATTTTCAACTTTATTACTTTAGATTCAAGGGGTATGTGTGAAGGTTTGTTATAAGGGTATACTGCATGATGCTGAAGTTAAGGGTAAAAATGATTCTATCACCCAGGTAGTGAGCATAATACACAATAGTTACTTTTTCAGCTCTTGCCCCCAGCCTTCCTTCCCTTGCCATTAGTTCCCAGTGTTTATTATTGCCATCCTTATGTCCAAGAGTACTGAATGTTTAGCTCCCACTTATAAGTGACTGCACAGTATTTGGTTTGTATTCTGGTGTTAATTTGCTTTAGGATTATGGCCCCTAGCTGCATCCATGTTGCTGCAAAGGATATAATTTTGTTCCTTTTTATGGCTGTGTAGTACTCCATAGTGTATTTGTACCACATATTCTTTATCCAGTCCCTCACTGATAGACACTTAAATTGATTCCATGTCTTTGCTATCGTGAATAGTGTGGCAACAAACATAAAAGTTCATGTGTCTTCTGGGTAAAATGATTTAATCTTATGTGAGTATATACCCAGTAATGGAACTGCTGGGTTTAATGATTGCTCTAATTTATATTCTTTGAGAAGTTTCCAAAATGGCTGCAGTTGTGCAGCTTTATTTCGGGGTTATCTATTCTGTTCTATTGGTTTAAGTGTCTGATTTTGTACCAGTATCATGCTGTTTTGGTTATGATATCCATTTTGAGTCAGGTAATGAGATGCCTCTGGCTTTTTTTTTTTTCTTTTTTTTTCTTAGGATTGCTTTGGCCACTTTGACTCTTTTTTGCAGTTCCATACAAACTTTATAATAGTTTTTTTTCTAATTCTGCAAACAAAATGACATTTGGAGTTCAATGGAAATAGTGTTCAACTTGTAAATAACTTTAGATAGTATGCCCTTTTTAACAACAGTGATTCATTCAATCCATGAGCATAAAATGTTTTCTTATTTGTTTGTGTCATCTCTGATTTTTTTTTTAAATCAATGTTTTGTAGTTCTCCTTGTAGAGATCCTCCCCTCATTGGTTAGATGTATTTCTAGGTATTTTTTTAGTGTGGCTGTTGTAATTGGGATGGCATTACTGATTTGGTTCTCAGTTTGAATGCTATTGGTATATAGAAATGCTACTGAGTTTTGCAGATTGATTTTGTATACAGAAATTTTACTGAAGTCATTTATGAGTACCAGGAGCTGTTTGATGGAGTCTTTAGTGTTTACTAGGTAAAGAATCATATCATCTGAGGAGAGAGACAGTTTGACTTTCTTTTTCTATTTGGATGCCTTTTATTTTTTTCTCTTGCCTGATTTCTCTGGGTAGGACTTCCTGCACTATGTTGAATTGGCATGGTGAAAGTGGGCATCCAAGTCTTCTTCCAGTTCTCAAGGGGAATGTTTCCAGCTTTTTACCATTCAGTATAATTTGGGCTGTGGGTTTGTCATAGACAACTCTATTATTTTGAAACATGTTCCTTCAATGCCTAGTCTGTTGCTGATTTTTATTATGAATAAATGTTTTTATCCAAAGCTTTTCGTTTTTACAGTGATTTAGTGTGTTTCTTAAGGTAAAACAACAAAAACAAATTCTAAAATTATAACTTTAAATTAAGTGGTTAAATTTCAGATGACAGAGCCAATAATTGGTAACAGCTTCTTTAAGTTCATATTAATAGTCCAATTAAAAACCCTAAAAACACTACCTGGCAATAGTTTGAAAGAATCGGAAGGGTTCAGTGAAGGGAGAAAAAATATCCAAACATGAAAAATACCCACAAAACACACGATCTTCTTTTTCATTTTATAATCTAAACTTGTAAAATTTTTATAAATACATGATCATTCTACACAATACAGATCTTCTAGAGCATTTGTAAAGGGTATTTTGGTCTTAAGGAATAAAGACTAAGATGGAAAAGGAGATGAAAACAGTGAAATCTGAGGAAGCAATACACTCTCTACACACAAGCAA